>NC_000015.10:94168550-94320066 GCF_000001405.40 Homo sapiens
CCAGCATCTGATGCACGTAATTGCTCAGGACTTGAAAACATCTGCGCTTTTAGAGCGCAGCTATTGGTGCTTTGCAGGAGGCAAGTGAGTGAGGGCTATCTGGTTGGCCTTTTTGAAGACACCAACTTGTGCACTATCCATGCCAAATGTGTAACAATTATGCCAAAAGTCGTCCAGCTAGCACATCTCATACGTAGAGAAGGTCCTTAAGAATCCTCTATGATGGGAACATTTCATTCTGAGAAAAATTCTCTTCTTCTTGTTATTGGTGGTTCTGAATGTTAGATATTTTTTTTTCCATGGGGTCAAAAGGTAACTAAGTATATGATTGCCAGTGAAAAAACAGAGGACAGAAACCAGATATTGACACTTTTTTTCTGTGTTCGTTTGTGTGTGAACTGTTAGTATAAATGCCCTGCATTTATGTCCCTACATGAAGCATTAATGCAAGTCAAACCTTTCAGTGAAGAAGTCTCAGTGGTTAAACTTTATAACAATTAAGAAACCTGTTATTTTTTTTCTGAACAATGCTAGCATTTGGATTTTTTAAAAAAAAATAAGTAAATGTTTTATTGACAGCAACTAAATGGTGTTTGTAGCATTTTTATCAAATGACAGATACCATCCATTCACTAGACTTTTCTCACTGAATTGTCCTACATGCAGTACGTGTTTTTTAATGTTGTCTTTCTTCTGTGTTGTTTCTGTAAGTTTGCTATTAAAATACATTAAACTATTTTTAAAAAACTCTCCATAGGTCGTGGTCAGCAAGCATGTCTTCAGCAATCACATCAGTCTCAGGAGAAATTTTCATGGTCAGGAAGATAAATTTCATCCTAGATAGGGCAGTGTTGTAATAAAGGCATAGAATAGGATGGAAGCATGGTGATGACCAGGAATAATGAGAACTCTCCTCTACCTGCCTGTCCAACAGATATATTATTTAAGGATAATTAGTTCAATGCTTAAATCAATGAAATCTTATTTTAAAATAGAGTTACAAATAATCACTTTTAGTAACTCAGAAGGAAGCACTGGGATGAGGCTATGAAAGGCAGAATGTGTTAGTGAACAAAGTCATTGAGTCCGTTAGGTCACAACTGAGACTATGCTTTCAAAAGCATCCCCTAGCCTAATTACCCAATTGTTTTCTTTTTGATTTTTAGACAGAGTCTTGCTCTGTCACCCAGGCTGGAGTGGTGCGATCTGGGCTCACTGCCACCTCCGCCTCCCAAGTTCAAGCAATTCTCCTGCCTCAGCCTCCTGAGTAGCTGGGACTACAAGTGTGCACCACCACGCCTGGCTAATTTTTGTATTTGTAGTAGAGACAAGATTTCACCATGTTGGCCAGACTAGCCTCAAAGTCCTGACCTCAACAGATCCACCCACGTTGGCCTCTCAAAGTTCTGGGATTACAGGCATGAGCCACTGCACCCAGCCCTATATGTATTTTTTTAATAGTCCTTTTCCCCTAGAATTGTTCACAACCCTTATTCTATTCCTTTCCTTATGTTTCTGTCTTTCATCCTCCCCATCAGGAGGGCCAATTACAAAATACTCAGGGAAGGAAAGGCTCTTAGGGACATGTTTCTAGGAAGATGAATCTCTATAAACTTTCCTTCAAACAATCACCAACTCCAGTTTCCTGATTTTAACTCAATTGTCAAGTCATTGTTAGATTCAAAAATAGTAAACAAGAAAGCAAAGAATAAATCAGAACCTGAGGATAAAGGGCAGAAGGTTCATTGAAGAAGGTAAAAGTTTGGTCCACAAAAACAATTTTAGAATAAATGAATCCAGTAATGTCGCAGGATACAAAACCAACACTCAAAACTCAGTGTGTTTCTCTACACTAACAACAGAAAACCCCAGAAGGAAATAAAATCAACAATCCCTTTTACAATACCATCAAAAAGGATAATGTAGAATAATGAAGGTGCTTACCACTATGAACTTCCCTCTTAGGTCTACTTTTGCTGCATCCCCTAAGTTGTGTTTCCATTTTCAATTGTCTCAAGATATTTTTTAATTTTCCTTTTGATTTCTTCTTTGACCCTTTGGTTGCTCAGAAGTATGTTGTTTAATTTCTACCTATTTGTGTGTTTTCCCATTTTCTTCCTGTGATTGGTTTATAGTTTTATATCACTGTGATTGGAAAAGATAACCTGGTATGATTTCAACCTTCTTGAATTTGTTAAAACTTATTTTGTGTCCTAACATATGGTCTATCCTGGAGAATGTTCCATGTGTACTTGAAAAGAATAGTATCCTGCTGCTGAAGGATGGAGTGTTCTATTGTAAAGCATGGCCACTATAGTTAATAATAATGTATTATTAAGTTGGTGCAAAAGTCATTGTGTTTTTTGCCAATGCACCACTGCACTCCAGCCCGGCAACAGAGCGAGACTCCATCAAAAAAAAAAAAAAAGTATTTGCAAAAACCACAATTACTTTTGCATCAACCTAATAAATACTTGAATTGCTAAGAGTTTAAATCTTACCTGTTCTTACCACAAAAATATATATGCCTGTGAGATTATAGTTAATTAGTATGATTTAATCATTTAATAATGTACAAATATACCATAACATCACAGTGCACACCACAAGTACACAAATTTTTCTTTGTCAGTTATAACTTAATAAACCGGGGAACATTTTTTAAGAGCTGAAAGTATTATAAATATGTAAAAAAAGAAGAATAAAATACTTAGGAATAAGGTTTTGTTTTTCATTTTTTTAATTTATTTCATTTTATTTTTTAGTGATACATAACAGATGTACATATTTTGGGGGCACCTGTGATAATTTGATACATTCATATAATCCTAGGGTAATTAGGATATCCATCACCATAAATATTTATCTTTTCTTTATGCTAGAAATATTGGAATTAACAGATAAACATAAGGAGGCAAAAATCTTGTACACTGAAAATTATAAAACGTTATTGAAAAAATCAAAGAAGATAAAAATAAATGGAAAGACATCCTATGCTCATGATTGGAAAAACTTAATTCTATAACGATATTCATAGTACCCAAAAAATCTATAGATTCATTGCAATCCCTATCAAAATCTCAATGGCAATTTTTGTAGAAATAGACAAAACCCATCCTGAAATTGATAGGGAATCTCAGAAGACTCTGAATAGTCAAAACAATCTTTAAAAAGAAGACCAAAGTTGGAGTTCTCATACTTCCTGAATTCAAAACATAATACAAATCTACAGTAATCAAAACAGCATGGTAATAGCATAAAGAGAAACATATAGACCAATAAAACAGAATAGGCAGCCCAGAAATAAACTCTTGCTTACATGGTAAAATTATTTTCAACAAGGGAGTCACAGTCACACAATAGGGAAAGGAGAGCTTCCTGAATAAATGGTATTGGGAAAACTAGATATCCACATTCAAAAGAATGAAATTGGATTCTTACCTTAAACAATATACTAAAGCTAACTCAAAGTGAATCAAAGGCCTAAATGTAAGATTTAAAACTTTAAAACTCCGCAAAGAAAACATAGGGGAAAGGCTGCATGACATTGGAATTGGCATTCATTTCTTGAATACGACACCAAAAGTACAGGAAACAAAAACAAAACAGACAAATGAGACTATATAAAAGCTACAGATGAGACTATATAAAAGCTACAAACTATTTGGCATCGAAAAAGTCAACAGTGAAAAGGCAACCTACGGAATGGGAGAAAATATCTGCAAATCATCTATCTCATAAGTTCGTATCCAGAATATAGGTAGACTTCTTAGAACTCAACAATTAAAAACAAATAACCCAGTTCAAAAATGGGCAAAGAACTCAGCTAGACACTTCTCCAGTTGGCCAATAAACACATGAAAAGATGTTTAATATCACTAAACAACAGAGAAATGCAAATCAAAACCACAGTGAGATACCATCTCACACCCATTAGGATGACTATGATTTAAAAAACAAAAACAAAAGCAGAAAACAAGTACTGGCAAGGATGCAAAGAAATTGGAGACCTTGGACACTCCTTAGTGGGAGTGTAAAATGATGCACCTACTGCAGAAAACAGTATGAAGTGTCCTCAAAAACATAAGAATAGAATTACCATATGATCCAGTAATGCCATTTCTGAATATATGTCTGAAAAATTAAGAGCAGGAACTTCAAGAGATCTTTGCACACCTACGTTCATAGCAGCACCATTCACAACAGTCAACATTTGGAAGCAACCAAAATGTTCATGGATGGATAAATAAAGAAAATGCGTTCTTTACATACAATGGAATATAATTCAGCCTTAAAAAGGAAGAGAAACTTGTCACATGTTACAACATGGTTGACCCTTGAGGACATTACGCTAAGTGAAATAAACCAGTCACAAAAAGACAAATAATGTGTGATTCTACTTATATGAGGTATATGAAAAGCCAAACTCATAGAAAGTAAAATTGTGGTTGCTAGGGGGCAGAAAGCAGGGAGGTTTTGTTCAATGAGTCTAAAGTTTCAGTGCACAATTAAAATTTCTGGACAACTATTGCACAGCTATGCGAATACAGTTAACACTACCAAATTGCACAATTTAAAATTGTTAAGATGATAAATTATGTTAGATAGAGTGCTTTAAGAGAGAGAAGAGCAGTCGTTCTTGGGGTATAGCTACAGTTAGTCAAAGTCATTGTATTTGGCGCATTAGGTGTTACAGTTTAGTGAAAAAGGAAGTTTGTGAATAAGGAAGAAGAAACCCAGAGAGGGATGTAAACAGGAAAGAGGAATAAGATGGAGGCGTGGCCGGGCGCGGTGGCTCACGCCTGTAATCCCAGCACTTTGGGAGGTCGAGGCGGGTGGATGATGAGGCCCAGAGATGGAGACCATCCTGACTAACACGGTGAAACCCCGTCTCTACTAAAAATACAAAAAATTAGCCAGGCGTGGTGGCAGGAGAATGGCATGAACCCAGGGGGCAGAGCTTGCAGTGAGCCGAGATCACGCCACTGCGCTCCAGCCTGGGAGACAGAGCGAGACTCCGTCTCCAAAAAAAAAAAAAAAAAAAAAAAAAAGATGGAGGCGTAAGAGAATAAAGAGCTGGTGGGCCAGGAGAATGCCCTGTAGCAGAGGGCAGAAAAAAGTGCTGGTAGTGGGTGTTGGTTAGTGGTGTTCTGTACTGCAGATATTTACGGGAAAAACGATACCCAAAGTGGGAACATTTCAGAAAAGGCAGAATTAGCCTTGGAAAATTAGGAGGGAAAAATGAGAGAATGAACATAGAAATAGAGTTTATTAATCAGAATGTAATACTGCAAACCACAGCAAAAGAATTTGGTTAACTCAAGCAAAAAGGAATGTATTTGGAGGGTCTTGGGTTAACTCTCAAAATTCACAGAAGACCAGATAATCAGAGCTAAACCAACAAAGACTGGGATCCAAAAACACAGGCAAGTTCAAACCACAGGATGAACTGAGGTTAAGTCATGGGCACTGGTACTATTGCCACTGGACACTAAAGCTGATAACACTGGTGTCTTTAGGCTACTGCTGGTGACAACTTTAAGCTGTGAATCTGTCAACCGCTCCCCAAGATTCAAAAGCTTGGCTGTGCATGTCTTACCAGCCAAACCTTCATCACCTTCCCACTCCTCCACACCATGACTTTCAAGAGTACCTGCTCTCCTGCTTTGGGAGACACCCAAGTCACAGTGTCCCACCAGGACACACAATGCAGGAATTCCTTCAAAAAGTAAGGCTCTTATGATCATGAGTTGCTAGAATAAAACATGCATACCCACCACACCATACCCCACCATTGTCTAGACATAAACAAAACATAACACACAATAAAAAGCTCCTACCAAAGATAAACAAGCTTACCCTTATTCTACTGAACATATTCCACTTCCAAAAGGAAGCCACTATACTCTCTCCACTTTCTTCAAGTTTCAACCCTAAGACCTCTGACTAACATCTATTTCTTTTTTCAGTTTTGTGGCAATTCTATTTCAAACCACAAAATAATTACAAAGTTAGATGATACCAATGCATATGCAATCTTTGTGGAAAGCCACACAAATAGGGAAGTTAGTTAAAATATTTACATGCCACAAAAAGGAAGGAAATTCTGAGTAATGGCTTTAGTCATCTTCTTTGCACAGGTCCCATGCCTGTGCATGATACTGATGGCTTAATGACTCTATGGCTCACTCCATGGCTACTTTGCCTCCTGCCAGCACTTCAGCAGTTGGAGTGCTTAATCAGTGGGGTGACCCAAAATGTCATACATGAGTATTTCAGCCTTTGGTGGTCCTGTTTTTTGTTTCTTTGTTTTGTTTTGAGATGGAGTCTCGCTCTGTTGTGCCCAGGCGGGAGTACAGTGGTTCGAGCTCAGCTCACTGCATCCTCCACCTCCCAGGTTCAAGCGATTCTCCTGCCTCAGCCTCCCAAGTAGCTGGGATTACAGACGCACACCACCATGTCTGGCTAATTTTTTGAATTTTTAGTAGAGACGGGGTTTCACCATATTGGCCAGGCTGGTCTCAAACTCCCGACCTAGGTGATCTGCTCGCCTCAGACTCCCAAAGTGCTGGGATTACAGGCCTGAGCCACTGCACCCGGCCAGTCCTGTATGTGTATAGTTGCAATATCCTTTCAACTGTCTTTTACTAACTTTATGTTTAAAAAATATTTCAGTTATATATTGGACAAAAGCAGAAATGAGATTACCTGATGATAAATCAACCCTCTTGTACAATTACACAATGATGCTCTTCATTACATTGCAAGATTTTAATTCTCTTCAGCCAGTCTATTTTTAATTTTTTCACGGGGGCTTATGTTATATAAGATTATAAAAAGATGGCTATTTCCCTACCAGGCAATTCAAGTCCCTACCAAATCCTATACAAGTGGCTCCAAACATCTTATCAAAATAAATCTTTTTAAACAAATGACAGTTTAAAAACAAATCAAAATACCTCAGTAGCTTTTAACCAAACACTAACTTTATTTGTGTAAATAATGAGTAATATTTGCCTCTTTCTGATTAAATCATTTCCTATTCAAACTGGAGCATGAACTATTTCACACTTGAAATTCTTAACCCATATGCAACTCTCAAGGGCTGAATTGTGTCCCCTGCCAACTCCTATGTTGAAGCCCCAACAGCCAGTCTCTCAGAATGTGACTGTATTTGGAGACAGGTCCTCCAACGTGGTAATTAAATTAAAATGAGGCCTTTGGGGTAGGTCCTACTTCAATCTGACTGATGCCCTTAAAAGAAATTTGGACACACAAAAAGGCACCAGGATGCAGGCATGCAGAGAAGACAGACCATGTGAGAACACAGCAAGAAGGCGGCCATCTCTAAGCCAGAGAAAGCCCTATTAGATAGTTAAATTTGAAAGTTTATTTACTGATGAGCTTGATTAGTGTTAGAAGCCAACTGCCCCCAAAGCAGACTTTAAGATGGGGGGTGTGGCCGGGCGTAGTGGCTCACGCCTGTAATCCCAGCACTTTGGGAGGCCAAGGCGGGCGGATCACGATGTCAGGAGATCGAGACCATCCTGGCTAACATGGTGAAACCCCGTCTCTACTAAAAATACAAAAAAATTAGTCGGGCGCGGTGGCAGGCGCCTGTAGTCCCAGCTACTCTGGAGGCTGAGGTAGGAGAATGGCGTGAACCCGGGAGGCGGAAATTGCAGTGAGCCAAGATCGCACCACTGCAGTCCAGCCTGGGTGACAGAGCAAGACTCTGTCTTAAAAAAAAAAAAAAAAAAAAAGGATGGGGAGTGTTGTACAGGTAAACTACAATAAAGAAATCCCAAGGGAAACCTGTGAAAGAATGGGGAAGCCAAGCAGGAGCAAGATTTCAGGTCAAGTTTTTCAGGGAGTTGCTTCAGTTTCTCCCACAGGAGTGTCTGTTGAACTCACCACTGTGCTGTCCCTTGGTAAGGGTTACAGGATTATAAAACTTCCAAACCCATCGTTGGTTTAGGAGAAAGTAAATTCTCAGACTCTGCCATGAACAGTCCTCTACAATAAGAAGAGCATACGCTGGCTCTTAAGACCAAAAGTTCCTCAAAGTTCTGGGGCCCTAAAAATAGAATAAGGGGAATCCATGGGGATCTGGTTGGAGTACCAGTATTAAACACCGTGGTAAATGTTGGATTGTTCTGTTACTTCAACTTACCTGTTAGGTTCTGTGCCATATGCTAGAAAGCCACCATAACTTCTGGAGACTATGTAGCTTTGAGAACTTCAGCATCACCAAGTTGTCATTAAGCTCAGACACTCCTGTCATTTCTACCATGCCCCCTCCTATTTCAGGAATTCCTTCAGAAAAATGACCAGGCATTCCCCAGGAAAGCCACCTAGATAAAGTTAACTGAGCTCTGGAAAGTCATCTGTTTTCTTGCTCCCATTGGGCCCTTTCACTTTGTTTTCAAGCCTTCTTCACCCTTTCTCCCCTTCCTTTGATCTCTTTCCCTCATCATATTTTTCACCTATACTCTGATGTTCTGCATTTCTCTGGGATCTTTGTTGAATTTCTTTCAGCAGTTTTTCTGGCATCTTTATCATAATCCAGTTTATAATCAAGAACAATATCATGGACTTTTCCCCAGTGACTCAGGAGGATACCTCCTTTTTCCCGCCCTTTCAGGTTGGACTGAATTAGGATTTATTTCCATGACTCTATCACAGTCTTGGATGGAAACATTTAGCAATCTGAAGAAGCCACTTGCTCTCTTGGCATACAGAGTGTAATAGATAATCTTTCATGATACGGTTGGTGGGAGTAGGCATGCAACAAATGCGAGTCATGTGTTGATGTAATTTATTTGTGCCTTTAGGGCTTGTGCAGGCCTCATATCTATACACCACTTCCTCATGACGTTTTGCTACATGGATTAGACATGCAGTTCATAATGGGTCCTATGATTGGAATATATTCCCCAAAGTTTATGTTTTAGAAACATGATCCCAGTGCAGAAGTGTTGGAAGGGGGGCCGTTTAACAGGTAATTAGATCATGAGGGCTCTGATCCCCTGAATGGATTAACGCTGGTATCCAGGAAGTGGGATTTTTATGAAAGGACATGTTTGAAGTTCTTTCTTTCTCTCTCTCTCTCTCTCTTTACCTCTGCTATGGTTTAGTTCTATGTCCCCATCCAAATCTCATCTCTAATTGTAATCCTCACATGTCAGAATAGGAACCTGTAATCGCCGGGTGACGAGGGAGGGAGGTGATTAGATAATCGGGGCAGTTTCCCCCATGCTGTTCTCGTGATAGTGAGTGAGTTCTCAGGAGATCTGGTGGTTTTATAAGTGTTTGACAGTTTCTCCTTCACACATTCTCTCTTGCCTGCCACCGTGTAAAACGTGCCTACTCCCTTTTCTGCCATAATTGCAAGTTTCCTGAGGCCTCCCCAGTCATGAAGAACTGTGAGTCAATTAAACCTCTTTCCTCTATAATTTACCCAGTCTTAGGTAGTTCTTTATAAAAGTGTGAAAACTAACACAATCTCCCTGTCTTTGTTTGCGTCTCTGTCATTTGATGTTTTTTGCCATGTTATGACATAACAAGAAGTCCCTCACTTCCATCAGTTTTGAACTTTCCAGTCACCAGGATTGTGAGAAATACATTTCTATGCTTTATAAATTATGCAGTCCCAGCTACTCTGTTATAGCAGCACACAATGGACTAAGACAATAGGTAACTCGGATCCTATGATCATCCAATTTTCCATCACCAGGAGTTTTTATCAAGGCAGATAATTAAACCATAAACTCTTTTCTACAAAGAGGAATAAGTTCTTACTGAAGAAGGCATAACTTTTCTTAAAACCCCAGTAGTCTGAGATTCTCCTATTGGGGTTTATCATAGTTTTATGCATACAGTATCTTGCTCTACCCCCAAAACTTAAAGTAGCACTCATTGGATATGCCTGAACTGAAACCTGGACCATCTAGGGATCCTTCTTTTGTTCTGGGCCTCATTCAAATTAGGAAGTTGTATTTATGTCCCAGGCTGCCATAATAAATCACCAAAAACTCAATAGCTTAAAACAACAGTAATTTATTTTCTCAGAGTCCTGGAGGCCAAATGTTTCTCAAGGCATTAGCAGGGTTGACTCCTAGTGAAGGCTCCAAGAGAGAATTCGCTTCATGCATTTCTCCAAGCTTCTGGCTGTTGGCAATCCTTAGCCTCCCTTGGCTTATACTGGCAGCACTTCAGTCTCAGCCTCCATTTTCACATTGCCTTCCCCTCTCAGTCCTGTTTTCTTATAAGGACAACTATCACTGGATTCAGAGACCACTTTAAATCCAGGATGAGCTCATCTCAAGATACTGAATTTTACCTACAAAGATTCTTTTCCTATATCAGATCATGTTCAGAGGTTCTGGGCTTTAAGCCAATATACAAAAAGGAAAGGACAGTTTTTTCAATAAATGATACTGGGCTGGGTGTGGTGGCTCACGCCTGTAATCCCAGCACTTTGGGAGGCCAAGGTGGGTAGATCACGAGGCCAGGAGGTCGAGACCATCCTGGCTAACATGGTAAAACCCCGTCTCTACTAAAAATACAAAAAAATTAGCCAGGCGTGGTGGCACATGCCTGTAGTCCCAGCTACTCAGGAGGCTGAGGCAGGAGAATTGCTTGAACCCGGGAGGCGGAGGTTGCGGTGAGCTGAGATCACACCACTGCACTCCAGCCTGGGTGACAGAGTGAGATTCCATCTCAAAAAATTAAAATACAATAAATAAATAAATAAATAAAACTAGAAAAACAGGATATCCTCAAACAAAACAATTACTTTTAATCCTTATTTTATACCATACACAAAAATGTACTCCAAATGAGTTAAAGAATTGTAAGATGTGATATCATAAAACTTGAAAAAGACAAGAGGAAAAACTGTTTGGCATTGTTCTTGGCTATGATGTTTTTTTGGCTATAATACCAAAAGCACAGGCAACAAAAGCAAAAATAAACCAGTTGGATCACACCAAACTAAAAAGCTTCTGCGTAGCAAAGGAAGCAATCAACAAAATGAAAAAGCAACCTGGATTGGGGTGAATTGGGAGAAAATATTTGGAAAATGTATATCTAGTAAGGGGTTAATATGCAAGATCTATAAGAAACTTATATAGCTCAATAGCAAAATATGAATAATATGATTTTAAAATGAACAAAGGACTTTAACAGATATTTTTCCAAAGTTGACATGCAAATGGCCAATGGGTATGTGAAAAAGTGCTTAATATCACTAATCATCAGGGAAATGCAAATTAAAATCAGAATAAAAATGTCAGCTCACACCTATTAAAATGGCAATTATCAAAAAAGATGAAAGATAGATGTTTGTAAAGATGTGGATAAAAGGGAACCCCTGTATACTGTTGGTGGGAATATAAATTGGTATAATCACTATGGGAAACACTATGGAGGTCCCTCACAAAATTAAAACTAGAACTACCATTTGATTCAGCAGTCCCACTGCCGGATATCGATCCAAAGGAAATGAAATCAGTATCTTGAAGAGATCTCTGCACTTCCATATTCATTGCAGCTTTACTCACAACAGCCAAAATATGAAAACAACCTAAGTTTCCACTGACAGATGAAAGGAAAAAGAAATATAATATATATGTACACACACAAGGGAATATTACTTAGTTTTAAATGAAAAGAAAATCCTGCCATTTGAAATAACATGGATAAATCTGATGACACTATGCTAAGTGAAGCAAGCCAGACACAGAAAGAGAAATAATGCATAATCTCACATCTAAAATAATTGAATCTGAAAATGTTCAATTAATAAAAACAGAGTTGAATACTGATTATCACAGGCAGAGTGTAGCAGAAATGGGAACATGTTGGTCAAAGTCTATAATAGTTTCAGTTATGTAGGATAAATAGGTTCTAGAGATCTAATGTACAGTATGGGGACTATATTGTATTATTAATATATACTCATATACTTGAAATGTGCTAAGAGAGATCTTATATGCTCTTACTACACACACACACACAAAACGTTAACTGTGAAGAGATGGACATGTTAATTAACTTGACTGTAGTATTCAGCTCACCATTATATGTATCCCAAAACATATTGTATATATTTAATATATGCATTTTTAATTTTTTACTAAAATTCTGGACATCATCATGTAAAACAAACAGTAAGACTCTGAAACCTAAAGAGAAGAAGAAAGACTGACTAGGGATCTCAGGACCTAAGGAATGACACAAGGGTGAGTTCCTTGGATTTTCTCTTTGCCTCATATTTCTTAAGATTGGAGCAGAAGGATCTGGACTTCAATGGGCACAGACCAAAAAAAAAAAAAAAAGAGTTCCAACAAATAGCTTGGTCTTCTTAGCCAAAGGACTAGAAAAAGGAAAACCTAGTAAGACAGAAAACGTGTAGACAATAACTACTCTGGCAGAATGCCACAGAAAGAACCATAGCCCTATCCTACCCCCTATAACAGCCGAGACCAGATGGGGACCCTAGACTTTACCCTTGCCAGGCTGTAAGGAGATATCTCACTTCTGTACCACAGGGTGATGTTACAGAAGATAGAATAGAAAACTGAGAATTAATTTCATCCCTGCAGGTGGTAATAAGATGTCCCCTCTTTCTGCAGTAAAAGTGGAGACCACACAGGGAACCTGGTTTTCACCCTGCCAGCAGAGGTGATATCAGAGAAGACTTACAATCGGGACTTTCATCATCGCTCAGTGTTAAGGAGGCCACTCCCTGCCCTGTGGCATCAGTGAAGGTTATCTGACGAGCAGTGTTGAGGCATTCCTACCTCTCTTAGCCGGGGATGTAACAGTGAAGGCCTAGTGTGGAGCCGGAATTCCCACCTCTGCCCATCAGTGATAAAGACATTCTCTGCTAGGGTAACAACCTAGGCCTAGTAGGGAACTGGACTTTTACCGCTTACTAGAGTCCCCTGTTTCTCACCAGAGTGGTGTTAGAGGAAGCCAGCCAAAACAGAAGCTTAAATGGCATCCAGAGTCTCAAAACATATATAACCTAAATGTCCAGGTTCAACCGAAAATCAGTTATCTCACCTAGAACCAGGAAGATCTCAAACAGAATGATAAAGGACGATCAATAGATGTCAACACAGAGGTGATAGAAAAATCAGAATTATCTGATGAAGAATCTAAAGCAGCCATCACACAATTGCTTCAATGAACAATTATGAAGACAGTTGAATAGATACAAGATTAGAAAATCTCAGCAAAAAATGGAAGATACAAATAAGAACCAAATGAAGACTGTTTTTTTTTTTTAGTTGGAGTCTCACTCTGTCGCCCAGGCTGGAGCGCAGTGGTGCGATCTCGGCTCACTGCAAGCTCCACCTCCGGGGTTCATGCCATTCTCCTGCCTCAGCCTCCTGAGTAGGTGGGACTACAGGCGTGTGCCACCAAGCCCGGCTAATTTTTTTGTGTTTTTTTAGTAGAGATGGGGTTTCACTGTGTTAGCCAAGATGGTCTCGACCTCCTGACCTCGTGATCCACCCGCCTTGGCCTCCCAAAGTGCTGGGATTACAGGCGTGAGCCACCGCGCCTGGCCCAAATGAAGACTTTTATGGCTGGGTGCAGTGACTCCTATCTGTAATCCCAGCACTTTGGGAGGCCAAAGTGGGCAGATCACTTGAGGTCAGGAGTTTGAGACCAGCCTGGCCAACATGGTGAAACCCTGTCTCTACCAAAAATATACAAATTAGCCAGGCATGGTGGCAGGGGCCTGTAGTTCCAGGTACTCAGGAGGCTGAGGCAGGACAATCACTGACCCAAGAGGTGGCAGTTGTAGTGAGCCCAGATTGTACCACTGCACTTCAGTCTGGACAAGAGAGCAAGACTCCATCTCAAAAAAAAAAAAAAAAAAAATTGAGGTGAAAAATACAATAGCAAAAACAAAACAAACAAACAAAAAGCAAAAACAAAAACACCAAAACCAAAAACACCCCACAAAACAAATTTAAAAAGCACCTCCATTGGTAGGTTTAACAGAATTCTATCTACACCAGTGAAAATAACCTCTAGGAATGGAGGGGAAATAAAAATTCTCAGAATAAGGAAAACTAAGAGAAGTAGTCACCAGCTGACCTATCCTAAAAGAATGGCAAGGGCTGTCCTCCAAATATAAGGAAATAATGAAAAAAGAAACCTTGGAATATCAGGAAAAGAAAGGATAGAGTAAGCAAAAAATATGGGTAAATACAATAGCCTTTCCTTCTCTTGATTTTTAATCAGAGTTGAAGCAAAAATTATAACACACTCTGATGTGGCTCTAAATGTATGGAGAACATGTTTAAGAAAATTGTATTATGAGCAGGAGAAAGTAAAGGGACATACAGAGAGAGAAGTTTTCTATACCTCATTTGAACTGGTAAAATGATGACATCTGTAGACTGTAATAAGATATACATCGTATACCTACATACGTTTGACATATATATAATGTATATGTGTACATATATATGCAAATATACGTGTATGTTTTATATATGATGTAATACCTAGAATGACCACTCAAAGAACTACATAGAGATATACTCAGAAACACTATAGGGCTGACTGCAGCTGCTCAAGCCTCTAATCACAGCACTTAGGGAGGCAAAGGAAGGAGGATTGCTTAAGACTAGGAGTTTGAGACCCACTTGGGCAACATAGTGAAACCTCATCTCCACGAAAAGAGAAAAAAAATGACTATGGAAAAATCAACATTGAATTCAAAAAAATGTTCAAGTGACCCACAGAAAGTCAGGAAATGAAAACAGAAATGAAAAATAGGGATAACAAAAAGCAAATAATAAAATGGTAGACATAAGCCTAACATATTAATATTTACATTAAATATAAATGGTCCTAATAAACAGATTTAAAGACAAACATTGGCAGAGTGGATCTAAAAATGTTACCTAATGCTATAAGAAATTCACTTCAAATATAGTAATACAGACAGGTTAAAGGTAAAAAGATGTAAAAAGATACATCATGCAATCAAAAGCAAGCAAGCATGGCTATGTTAATATCAGCTAAAGTGCACTTCAGAGCAAATACAATTAACAGAAACACATTATATAATGATAAAAGGATCAATCAAAAAACCATAGTAACACTAAATACAAATCTCCAAAACATGTGAAATAAAACTTGTAGATATTATAGAAGAAACAGACAAATCTACAAGTACAGTTGGAGACCGCAACACCCCTCTCTCAACAAGAGATAAAATAACTGGACAGAAAATCAGCAAGTGTGTAGAAGAATTCAACATACCATCAACGAAAGGGATCTAATTGACATTTATAAAACACTCCACCCCATAAAAACAGAATACACATTCTTTTAAATTGCCCATAACACGTATACAAAATTAGACCATATACTGGGCCATTAAACAAACCTCAGAAAATTTAAAACAACTGAAATCATTACAGTGTGTTACCTGACCACGGGAGAATAAAACTAGAATTCATTAAGAGCAAGATAACAGGAAACTCTTCAAACACTTAGAAACTCAAACCACACTTCTAAATAATATATGAATCAAAGAGGATGTCTCAAAGGAAATATAAAATATTTAACCTGCATAAAAATAAAAATACAACATACCAAAATGTGTGGCACACAGATGAAGTAGTGCTGAGAGGTAAATTTGCAGCTCTAAATGCAGCAGCCTCCCACCTTTTTTGCATTAAGGACTGAGTTCGTGGAAGACAATTTTTCCCTGGACTGAGGGTAGGGGATGGTTTGGGGATGATTCAAAATTCAAGAGCGTTCCATTTATTGTGCACTTTATTTCTATTATTATTACATTGTAATATATAATGAAATAATTGTTATGTAACCATAACAGAACCAGTGGGAGTCCTGAGCTTGTCTTCCTGCAACTAGATGATCTCCTCTGGGTATGATCGAAGACAGTGACATCTGAAGTGTTTTGCTTATGTCCAGTCTACTCAGTAATCTTGTTTTGGTTGCTGTCACTACAGAAAACCCTGCTTCACAAAGACAGGATGCTGGAAATGGAAGCAGGCTTTTCAGTGCTTTTGTGGCAATCTCTGGATATTTCACTTTGACTTTAATCCAGAACGTATGGAGATTTGTAGTCTCAAGCATACTTTTAAGGCTATCGTCATTTGCAGTGTCAAACAGTTGATCCTCTTCTAGCATGGACACCATCAGTTCGCCTGGCTTATTCACAGATGGGTCACGGATCCATTCCTTCCCAGTTTGGGGGTCTTTTGTGGTGGGAAGCAATGCTCAAACTCCTTTGAAAGCTGAGCTAGGTGATCATGCACCACCTGGTGTAAGAAGGCCCTGCCTCCATCACTTTCAAAATCTGGGCAAGTGTTTAAAACATGTCAGAAATCCCAGTGTTCACTCATTGCCCATAATTCCAGTTTGACTTTGAATGCAGCCACTTTATCTACTGAAATGAACACAGTTGTCATTCTCCCCTGAAGTGACAGATTGAGTTTGTGTAGCATGTTGAATAATATATCACCCAAGGAAGCAAGTTTTGAGACTTATTCTGTGTCGCTGAAACGTGCTGCCAGTGGTAACTGTTTTTCTGAAAGAAATCTCTGGAGTGGCTTTCATAATTCAAAAACTGGCCAGTGATCTACCTTTAGAAAGCCATCTCACGTCTGTGCATAAGACCTGTGTGTGCTCTGCGTCCATCTCCTCACAGAGTTGTGTGAACATATGTGAGTTAAGGGCATGTACTTTAATGTGGTTGATAATTTTAATCACATCCTGCAAAACATTTTTAAGTTCAGGTGACATTTTTCAGCTAGCCAGCATTTCTGTATGGCTGACACAGTGCATAGATTCACATTCAGAAGTGACCTCTCTGACCCAAGTAGTGAAACCAGAAAGCTGTCCAGTCATGGCAGCCACTCCATCCATGCATGTACTGATACAAAATGATCAATTCAGTTTTCCTGATATGTAATCATTCAAAGACTTGAATAGTTCTGCAGGTGTTTGTCTGCAACAAAAGTGCGCATAACATATCCTCATGCACATCCACCTGAAAATGTATAACACAAAAACAATCATTTTTGCCTTTTTGTCAACATCGGTAGACCTGTCAACCTGGATTGTGTATCATGGTGATTCATTAATTCTCTCTAACAATTGTGTCTCAATATCCTCTGCTATTTCATTACTTTATCTAGTTACAGTGCCAGCCAAAAGAGGAACACGTGTCCCCTTTTGAACTACAGCCTCTCCTAAAATTTCATGACGAATGTCCTTAGCAGCAGGCAGGATCAACTCTTCACCAATAGTAAAGGGCTTCTTAGCGTTAGCAATGAGATTAGCCACTAAGAATGTTGCTCTCAATGCAGACACATTTGATGAAGTGGTGGCCTTCAATAATTGCATCTGTTCTTCCTGTTCACATTTAAAAAAAAAAAAAAAAAAAACTCCAAAGGCTTGTCTTTTAATGCAGGGTGCTTAGTCTCCATGTGGTGAAGCAGTTTTGCAGGTTTTATGGCTTTGTCGGATGGCTAGTTACCACATATTATACAAAGCGTTCTTGAAGAATGTGAATCACCTGTTGCAATGAACCTGTACTCTAAATAGGACTCTTGGTATTTTGTTTTAAACGCAGCTTTCTTTTTGTTGGCGGTCTCAGAGTCTCACCATTAGATCTTTCCCCCTTTTCAAAGAAGCTCTCTGGTGATATTTGCTTTTTACTCATTTTGCCTAGGGTTAGCTTGTGGGGTTACCAAAACTGTAACTGAGGTAAGTGTGCAGTGAGGAAAAGAGGCACAGACGAAAGTGGTAAATATTCTACGGACCACATATGGACTAAAATAAGTGCTGGATTCTGATTTAAGGCCTGCCACCAGACGTAGCCATACAATGGAAGTACGTTAACTCACTTGCTGCTATAAAGCCTGCCACTGGAAGCAGCTTAATTGTCACTTGCCACTTGCTGATAGGGTTTTGATATGAATCTGCAAGCAGTTGATTTATTATGGTCTCTGTGCATTTATTATTTGCAGCTGCTCCCCAGCACTAGCATTACCACCTCAGCTCTACCTCAGATCATCAGGGATTAGATTATCATAAGGAGCACACAGTCTAGATCCCTCACACACACTGTTTACGATAGGGTTTGTGCTCCTATGAGAAACTAATGCCACCGCTGATCTGATAGGAGGCAAAGCTCAGGTGGTAATGCAAGCAATGAGGAACAGTTGTAAATAGAGATGAAGCTTCACTCTCTTGCCCGCAGCTCACCTCCTGTGGTGTGGCCTGCTTCCTAACAGAAATTGTGAGGAATTGAACTCAGTGTTGTCCTGTTAGAGCAGAAAGAAAAACCAGACCAAACTCAGCTGATGCTCGCCCATGGAGAAGCATTTACCACACTCATAGCCAGAAGGGAATCCCCTAGTGGTTCGAACTTGAGTGCCTGCAAACCTAGCCACTAAGGGCTACAGCATTTTGTGTCTCCAAGCAAACTTGAAAGGCAGTCTAGGCCATAAGGACTGAAACTCTTAGGCAAGCCCTAGGGCTGAAATAGGCCCAGAGACAGTGGACTGTGGAGGCGGAGCATGTGACCTACTGAGATGCTGCCTGGGGCAGCTAAGGGAGTGCTGTCATCATCCCTCCCCTAGTCCCAGACTACACAGTTCATGGCTCCAAAAGAGACCTCCTGGGGAGGACTTTGTCTTGCATCTAGGATACCAGCTCAGTCACAGCAGGATAGGGCACTGAACATGTTTGCAATCTACCCATCTGACAAAGGTCTAATATCCAGAATCTACAAGGAATTTAAATTTACAAGAAAAAAACAACCCCATCAAAAAGTAGGCAAAGTATATGGACACAGGGAGGGGAACACCACTCACCAGGGCCTGTCAGAGGATGGGGGTCAAAGGGAGAAAGAGCATTGGGACAAATACCTAATGCATGTGGGGCTTAAAACCTAGATGATGGGTTGATAGGTGCAGCAAACCACCATGGCACATGCATATCTAGGTAATAAACCTGCACAGTCTACACATGTATCCCAGAACTTAAAGTAAAAACAAACAAACAAACAAACAAAACTAGAAAAGCAAGAACAAAGTAAATTCAAAATTAGGGAAAGAAAAGAAGCAATAAGTATCAGATCAGAAATAAATAAAATTGAAATTAAAAAATATAAAAAATCAATAAAACAAAAAAATGTTTTTGAAAAGTTAAACACAGTGGACAAATCTTTAGCCAGACTAACTAAGAAATAAAGAGAGGAGGTCTAAATCAATAAAATCAGAAATGAAAAAGAAGACATTACAACAGATACTACAGAAATTAAAAGGATTATTAATGGCTACTGTGAAGAACTACATGCCAATAAATTGGAAAACCTAGAAGAAATTTAAAAATTCCCAGAAACATACAAACTACCAAAATTAAACCATGAAGAAATCTAAAACCTGAACAAATCAATAATGAGTACTGAGATTGGAGCCATAATAAAAAGTCTCCCAGTAAAGAAAAACCTGGGACCTGATGACTTCCATGCTGAATTCTAACAGACATTTAAAGAACAAATACCAATCCTACTCAAACTTTTTGGAAAAATAGGGGAGAAGGGAATACTTCCAAACTTATTCTATGAGGCCAGTATTACCCTGATACCAAAACCAGAGACACATCAAAAAAAGAAAACTACAGGCCAATAGCTCTGATGAATTCTGATGTAAAAATACTTGACAAAATACTAGCAAACCAAATTCAACAATATATTAGAAAGATCTTTCATCATGACAAAGTGAGAGTTATTCCAGAGATGGAAGAATGGCTTAACATATGCAAATCAATGTGATACATCATGTCAACAAAATGAAAGATAAAAATCATATCATCATTTCAATTGATGCTGAAAAAGCATTTGATAAAATTTAACATCCCTTCATAATAAAAACTTGAAAATATACCTTAACAAAATAAAAGCCATATGTGACAGACCCATACCTAGTATTATACTAAATGGGGAAAAACTGAAAGCCTTTTCTCTGAGATCTGGAACACGACAAGGATGCCAGCTTTCACTATGTTATTCTACATAAGTCCTGGAAATCCTAGCTAGAGCAATCAGTGAAGAGAAAAAATAAAGGGCATACAAATTGGAAAGGAATAAGTAAAATTAGCCTTGTTTGCAGATGATATAATGTTATATTTGAAAAAACCTAAACATTCCACATAAAAAGTATTAGAACTCACAAGCAAATTCAGTAAAGTTTCAGGATACAAAGTCAACATACAAAAATCAGTAGTATTTCTATATTTCAAGCAAACGATCTGAAAAACAAATCAAGAAAGTAATTCCATTTTCAACAGCTAAAAATAACATATCTAGGAATTAACCAAGGAAGTGAAAGATCTCTATAATGAAAAGGATAAAACATTGATGAAAGAAATTGAAGAGGAGGGGACACCAAAAAATAGAAAAATAATTAATGTTTGTGGATTGAAAGAATCAATATTGTTAAAATATCCATACTACCAAAAGCAACCTACAGATTCAATGCAATCCCTATCAAAATACCAATGACATTCTTTACAGAAATATTTTTAAAAATCCTAAAATTTATATCAAAGCACAAAAGACCTAGAATAGCCAAAGCTATCCTAAGAAAAAAGAAACAAATTGGAGGAATCACATTATGTTACTTCAGATTATACTACAGAGCTATAATAACCAAAAGAACATTGTACTGGCATAACAACAGACACATAGACCAATGGAACAGAATAGAGAATCCAGAAACAAATTCATAAACCTACAGTGAACTCATTTTTGACAAAGGTGCCAAAAGCACACACTAAGGAAAAGACAGTCTCTTCAATAAATGTTGCTGGGAAAACTGGATATCCATATTCAGAAGAATGAACTAGACTCTACCTATCGTCATGTGCAAAAATCAAGTCAAAATGGATTAAAGACTTATATTTAAGACCTCAAAAATACTACAGGAAAACATTGGGAAAAGTCTCCAGGACATTGGTCTGGGCAAAGATTTCTTGAACAATACCCTATAAGTATGGGCAGCCAAAGCAAAAATTGACAAATAGGATCACATCAAATTAAAAAGCTTCTGCGCAGCAAATGATACAGTCAACAAAGTGAACAGACAATCCACAGAATGGGAGAAAATATTTGACAGGGGATTAATAACCAGAATATTTAAGGAGCTCAAAGAACTCTATAGAAAAAAATCTAATAACCCAATCAAAAAGATAGGCAAAAATTTTAATAGACATTTCTCAAGAGAAGATATACAAATGGCAAACAGGCATATGAAAAGGTACTCAACATCATTGAGCATCAGAGAAATGCAAATCAAAACTACGATGAGATATTATCTCACCCCAGCTAAAATTACTTTTATCCAAAAGACAGGCAATAACAAATGCTGGCAAAGATGTGGAGAAAAGGGTACCCTTGTACACTGTTCATGGGAACATAAATTAGTACAACCACTGTAGAGAACAGTATGGAAGTTCCTCAAAAACCTAAAAATTGAGCTACCATATGATCCAGCAATACCACTGCTAGGTATATATGGAAAAGAAAGGAAACCAGTACATTGTAGAGATATCTGCACTCCTATGTTTGTTGTGGCACTGTTTATTTACAATAGCTAAGATCTGGAAGTAATCTAAGTGTCCATCAACAGATGAATGGATAAAGAAAATGTGGTACATATACACAATAGAGATTCAGCCATAAACAAAGAATGAGATCCAGTTGTTTGCAACATCATGGATGGAACTGGAGATTATTATGTTAAGTGAAATAAGTCAGGCACAGAAAGACAAATATCACATGCTCTCACTAATTTGGGAAATCTAAAAATTAAATCAATTGAACTCATGGACATAGAGAGTAGAAGGATGTTTATTAGAGGCTGAGAAGGGTAGTGGGAGGGTTGGGAGGAGGTGGGGATGGTTAATGGGTACAAAAAAAATAGTTAGAAAGAATGAATAAGACCTGCTATTTGATAGAACAACAGGGTGACTGTAGCCAATAATAACTTAATTGGGTATTTTAAAGTAACTTAAAGAGTATGTTTGGATTGTTTGTAACACAAAGGATAAATGCTTGAGGGGATGGATACCCCATTTTCCATGATGTGCTTATTTCACATTGCATGCCTGTATCAAAACATCTCATATGCCCCATATATATATATATATATATACACACACACACCTACTATGTACCCACAAAAAGTTTTTTAAAAACTTCCAATTTAGACCAAAGACAAGAAAAGAGGAACAAGTCTCAAATTAATAAACTAAACACTACCACCAAAAAAGAAAATGAAGATCAACCTAAACCCAAAGCAAGGAAAAGAAAGGAAAAAAGATAAAAGGCAGAAATGAATGAAATCGAAAACAGAAAAATTATAGAGAAAATTAATAAAACAAATATCTGGTTCTTTGAGATCAATAAAATTGAAAAACCTTTAAGGAAGGCTGAGAAAGAAAAAACAGAAGACACAAATTACCAATATCAGGAATGAAACAGAGGATACCATTACTATGCCTTCAGAAAACAAAAGGATTGTGAATACTATGAACAACTCTATCCATATAAATTTAATAACATAGATAAAATTGTTTAATTCCTTAAATTACAGAAATGACCACCTCTCACCTAATATGAGATAGATTATTTGAATAGCCTTATAAATAATAAGAAAGTTGAGTTCATAATTTTAAAACTTCCCCCCAAAAAATCTCTTGTGGTCAAGATTGTTTTACCAGAGAATTTTACTAAAGATTTCAAGGAAAATGAATTCTGATTCTATTACACTCTTTTCCAGAAAATAGAAGCACCTTCATTTTTCGAAACTTGTATTACCCTGAAACCAAAACCAGACAAACAGAATGTAAAACAAAAGAGAGGAGCGGGGGAAGAGGGAGACAAAAGGAGGGAGGGAGAGAAGAAAGAAAACTATAGACTGATGTTCCTCATAAACATAGATGCAAAATCATTAACCAAATATTAGCATACAGAATTCAACAATATATACAAAGAACCATATAGTGTAACCAAATAGAATTTATTTCAGAGATGCAAGCCTGGCTCAATATATGGAAAACAATAAATATAATCCAGCATATAAAAAAGCTAAAGAAGTAATTTATATAATCATATCATTTCATGCAGAAAAATCACTTATCAAAATTCAACACCTGTTCAGGATTTAAAAAAAAAAAACTTCACAAAAATAGAAGTAGAAACTTTCTCACCTTGATAAAGCACATCTACCACAAAACCTACAGCTAACATTATAATTAATGAGAAAAGATTAAATGCTCTTCTCTTACTATGGGAACACAACAAAGATGTCAACTCGCAACACTCTTGTTCAACATTGTTCTGAAAGTTCTATCCAGCTCAATAAATCAAGAAAAGGAAATGAAAAGTATACAGATCAGAAAGGAAGAAATAAAACTGTCTCTCTTTAAAAATGACATGACTATCTATTTAGAAAAAATAGATGAAAAACTACAAAAACTTATAAACTAATGAGTTCAGCAGCGTTGTAGGGTACACAAAAAACATAAGAAAATCAATTGTATTTCTACATACTAGCAATGAAAATATGAATGCCAAAATTAAAAATACAGTGTAATTTACAGTATCTAAAAATGATATTCTTAGGTATCAGTCTAACAAAATATGGACAAGATATGAATACTAAAAATGAAAACAACACTAATGCAATAAATCAAAGAAAGACCTAAATAAATGGAGAGACATACTAATAGCTAAAGCAATTTTGATAAAGAAGAATAAAGTGAGAGAAATCAGTCTATCTAA
Organism: Homo sapiens; assembly: GCF_000001405.40. Taxonomy (NCBI): domain Eukaryota; kingdom Metazoa; phylum Chordata; class Mammalia; order Primates; family Hominidae; genus Homo; species Homo sapiens. The sequence goes on from NC_000015.10 coordinate 94,192,405, forward strand.
TGCAAGACTTAGTATATAACATGAGACAAAACTGTATAACATCAGTAAAAGGACTGACATGTAGATTAAATAAACAAAATAGACAACTTAGAAGTAAATTCAATTCATTTCTGACAAAAGTCCAAAAGCAAATTTATGGACAGCCTGTTCAACAAATCATGATGAAACAATTGGACATTCTTAAGGGAAAAAAAAAAAAAACATGGTTTAAACCTCACACGTTACATAAAACTTACGTCAAAATTGATCACAGACTTAAATATAAAATATAAAATTACTAAAAAACAACAGAGAAGAAAATCATTGTTATCTAGGCCTAAACAAAAAATTAGTAGGCTTAACACCATAAGCACATTCTATAAAAGGAAAACTTTTTAAATTGGACTTCATTGAAATTGAAAATTTTTACTCTACAAAAGATCCCATTCCTCTTAGAGAAAGAGTGGGAGAAAGTATTTGCATACCACATATCTGAACAAAAAGCTAGTATCTAGAATATATAAAGAATTCTCAAAGCTCAGCAGTAAAATGAAGAAACAATCCAACTAGAAACTGGGCAAAAAAACATAAAGAGACATTTCAATGAAAAGGATATACAGCTGACAAAGTAATTGAACAATGTCATTAGCCATTAAGAAAATGCGTATTAAAGCCACAGTGAGATATTACTACACACCAAATGGAATGTCTAAAATAAAAAATAGCATCAGGCCGGGCGCGGTGGCTCACGCCTGTAATCCTAGCACTTTGGGAGGCTGAGGCGGGCGAATCACGAGGTCAGGAGATGAGACCATCCTGGCTAACACGGTGAAACCCTGTCTCTACTAAAAATACAAAAAATTAGCCGGGCGTGGTGGCGGGCGCCTGTAGTCCCAGTTACTTGGGAGGCTGAGGCAGGAGAATGGCGTGAACCCTGGAGGCGGAGCTTGCAGAGAGCTGGAGCTTGCAGTGAGCCGAGATCCCATCACTGCACTCCAGCCTGGGCCACAGAGTGAGACTCCGTCTCAAAAAAAAAAAAAAAAAAAAAAAGTAAAATAGTAATAATAATAATAGCATCAACACCACATGCTAGTAAGGATGCAGAGAAACTGGATCGCCCATAAGCTGCTGCTAGAAATGTAAAATGATATTGCTCTCCTGGAAAACACTTTTTGATGGCTTCTTAAAAAACAAAATCTGCGGCCCGGCACAGTGACTCACGCCTGTAATCCCAGCACTTTGGGAGGCCGAAGCGGGCAGATTACCTGAGGTTAAGAGTTCGAGACCAGCCTGACCAACATGGAGAAACCCCATCTCTACTAAAAATACAAAATCAGCCGAGCGTGGTAATTCCAGCTACTCAGGAGGCTGAGGCAGGAGAATTGCTTGAACCTGGGAGGCAGAGGTTGCAGTGAGCCAAGATTGTGCCACTGCACTCCAGCCTGGGCAACAAGAGCGAAACCCTGTCTCAAAAAAAAAAAAAAAAAATTCTGCAACTCTTATATGACCCAATATTTGTATTCCTAAGCATTTATCATAGGGAAATAAAAATTTACATTCACGGAGAATTTGTATGTAAATAAATATAGCAGTTTTACTCTAATAGCCCCAAACTGGAAAGAATCCAGATATCCTGTAGTGGAAAAATGATTACACATATGTGGTACATCCATACCATGGAATGCTACTGCTCAGCACTAAAAGGTTTTAAACAATAGATACATGCCTTAACATGAATGAATTTCTAAAAATTTTATGCTGTGAAAAAAGTCAATACCGAAAGGTTATAAACTGTATGAATCAAAACTTCAGAAGTGCAAGCCTCCTTTTCTTCTTTGTTTATACTGTCCAGCGGTATGAAAGGCAGCTGCCTCACTCTCTCTTCCTTGAAGATCCTATGCCCAACAAACTTTTTAATTTTAGTGATATCAGGGTCTCCACCCTGACCCTCAGTGGACACTTTTTTTTCTGGTGACCACATGCAGTCATGTAATCATTTCATCAACAGAAAATATTTATTTGAATGTGGCTTCCAGAATCCTATTCTTTAATATAAAGAATTTTAAAATTATCTTCAGCCCCAACTAAACTCAACAGTCAATCCCAGACCAATGCTGCTATCTAGCCTCTATCCTGCGCCTTAGGGTATATGGCCTTTTAAGACACTCTTGCACCCCATACAGTAGATGTCTGTGTCTGGAAGGATGCCTGGTTATATACAATAAAGTCCAATTCCGCCTAAGGAAGGCTGTCTTAGGAGGAGACCCAGTAACTCCCAGAATTGATGGGAAGCTGAAGAACTAAGCTTAGAGAATGAACTGAGATGAGAGAGACCAGACGAAAGGAAATACAGTCCAGGTAGTTTCCTCTATAGGGACCATCTGGTCAGGATATCTCTGCCAGCAGCACCATCAATAGACATCAACATAATTGTTGTAGGATGCCTGATGCTACCATGGCACCATAAATGATATCTCAACTGTCACTATGTAGGACAGGGACACTTCTTCAGGGATCTAAATCCCAAACAAGAACATCCAGTTGGCTTCAGTGTGACCAAGTCATGAGCTTTTAAGGTTTATTTGACTTCTCCCTAATAATTATGCTATCTTACCTCCTGTGCATGACCATTAATATCTCAGTAAATTAATGTCTGGATAGAGGTAAGAGATAATGAATGGGTGAAATGGAATTGTTTGATTAAAAGGGGTGGATTAAAAATCATCTATTATTATGTTTTTTATTTGCTACTATGTATTGATTGAGAGAAGCGATGGAAATCTCAGTCCAAACTGATGCATTTTACATGAAATTTATTGGATTACCTAATGGAAAAAGTTCAGGATCAATCTGAGTTTAACTACTAATTAATCAAGAGATCAATGGCTAGGCCTTGTTTTTTCTCCACTTTTCAAAACCCATTCCTGCATAAATCATTCAGATTCCTTCTGAGATGCCACACGGTGACAAGAGGGATGCTGCTACTCCGGGACCCTCATCTTCTCAGCTTCAAGCCAAGTGGTAAGAGGAATAGTGTCTTGCCGAGGAGACCAGTAAAACCTTCAGTGTTTCTCTTTATCTTTGCCTGGAGCCCATGGCCAAACTTTGACCTGTCACCATGGCCAGTGTAATGTTCTGCTTTGAATGGCCAGGCTAGTCCCACTCCAGACTCTTAGCGCGGGCCAGAGCAAGATTATAGATGGAGACCTATATACCATATGTTGAAATATTTTAATGGTATAAACCAAATTATCTGCTAAGTAAAATATGTTCTGTTCTCTTACCTTGGCAATATATCATCATAATAACATTTTGCATTTAGAATTCCCAGACTATTTGGGGTCTTTCTCTGGAATGCAGCATCACAGAGGAAGGTAGCACAAAGCGTGACTCATTCTCTTTCCTTCCCTGGCTCTACTCTATAGCAGGAGGGGCCTCACATGCACATATGTCGACACCCCTGCCTGTACAACCATGTTTGGTCCACACAACCACAAAAAACCACCTCTTACCCACTCCTGAGCCAAGTGTAAGCATAAGCATGCTAGCTGAAGGATCTGCCTTCAGAAGGGGGAAGAGACTACCACATTGCTTGTAAGGAGTGAGGATGTTTAGGTAGGTAATTTTGGAAGCCTAGAAACCTAGATCTAGAACATTTACTATAACAGGAAGTAGGGGCTCCAGTTGGGCACAGCAGCTTGGCCCAGTGCGCGCTCTACACCATGGAGACGAATATGATGGAAGAAGGGCAAAGCAAGGCCCTCTGGGCACAGGGTGCAGGGCAGGACCTTCTTGCCCAGATCCAACGGCAGTACTGAACAAAGTGCAAGCTGCTCCTCCTCCCCTGTAGCCAGGGGTGGAATCAATGCCATCAGAAGCACAGGGCCTGAGAGTCTATGAATGTGGATGTAGGAGTCCAATATCTCAGAAAAATATTGAAAGCAGTTTTTGGAAGTAAGGTAAATGGATACTGAGTGGCTAAGAAGCAGCAAATATTAACATTTGACATCCAATATGCTTTAAAATTAGAATTTTTAAAAAAATCTCTTCTGCACGATCTGGGCAGGGCTCTCTCCATTCTCCCCCATGGGTCCCTTCCCCTCCAGTTTATGTGATTTCTTTTACTTCATTGAACTTTTTTCTCTCTCTCTCTCTGTTCTTTTCTTGTGTTAGCTTTCTTTCACCGCTCTGTCTTCACAATGGCTTTTCCCTCTTTCAAGCTCACTTGTGTCTCTTTTTCCCTTTTCCTTTATTTAAATAAACATTAATCATCCTTTAACTTTTAACAGAAAAAGTAGTTATTTTTAGGATGCCTTTTATGACTCACCAAGACAGGGTTAGGTCCCCTGGATTTGCAATCTCACAAGAGGCTGTAGCGTCATTGAAAGTCAAAGCATTTGTACAAAGATGTATTCTGGCAAATTCGAATTCCATGGACCATCATCTTTCACTCTCATCACAACTTTATGAAGTGCTTGGTATTATCACTGTTTGGAAGATGAAGACATGGAGTCCTCAAGGCTTCGGGGATTTGTCCTAGGCTACAGTGGGTAGCAATGGTAGGTGCCAATTTTCTGATCCTAAGTACCCTGAGCTTCTGCTTATTCTTTGCAGGTCGGCTGTGCTGGGGCCTTTATGAGAGTAGATAAATCACATGCTGATGGTTTCAATAATTCCAAACACTTCATTCTGAAAATCCACACAGGAGCTAGCTCAAGCTGCCAAGAAAACATTCAATTAGTGTTCCGTTTGAGGTTGCTTTTTGCTGCACTACCTCAGTCCCTGAATATTCTCTCTTTGGTTTATCAACTGAAATTCAGCGGACTCTCTGGGGCTCACTAGAACACGGTAATAATTAGTCCAAGAATGACAATTCTATTATAACTTGACTTTAATCTCGTGAGATGTTCAGGCACCTTCCAACATTCAGTTCGTAGCTTTATCTAAAGACAGGGCCAATTGTGAGAGGGAGGGAGAGGTCCCTCTATGGAAGCAGATGTAGAAAAGGAAAATTGTGATCTAGCACCATTGCCTTGTTTGTGCATAACACTTGAGGGTTTACAGAATGTATTTGTCATGTATAACTTTATGCTGACAGATAAAAGTTTAGCCAAGGCAATTTTAGTGGAGAGTGGGTGATTCTTATCATGCTTGGTGTGCTCTATGTTTCAAGACTATTGGAAATTACAAATAAAACCCACCTAATAGTCTATGATAAACCATCTTCCCAGTTTGGAATGAGGGAGTTCAGGGACATAGGCCTTTCAAGTGCTAAACCTGACAAAGTCCTAGATAAAAAGAGATGAGTTGCACATTACCTAATAAAAATACCCAGGCATATAATAGAGGTAAGCAAATGACCTATTGACTATTTTTGCAAATAAAATGTTGTTGCAACACAGCTATGCCAATTTACATATAGTGCTTATGGGTGATTTCTTATTATCCTGGCAGATTGAGTAGTTGTGAGAGAGGCTATGACCTGGAAAGTTGAACATATTTACTATCTGCCCCCTTATAAAAAAGTTTGCAACATCTGATCTATACCTTAGCTGAAGATCTTGAAGAGGAGCTGTGCAAAGATAGCTAAAAGATTCACCAATGCGACGAAACCCACATTCTGCACTAAGACCCGTACATATTTTGTTACATCATTGACAGCCACAAAATGGTTTTATATAGTGAAGTTCTGATATGGATATGCATTTACTCCTAAATGAGAAGATAATAATAACTTTTAACAAGAAAGACCAAGAGAATAGCTGCTGTCTAAAATTAGCATCCTATCTAAAATTCTCCTTTTTGTCTATGTTCTCTTTGCCCTGGGATTTAGCTGTTTAATATTAGGACAGTTTGTAGAGCTGTAGAAACTGTCAATGCTTGAAATTTTTCTTTAAGTGTCAAGTTTGCTACATATTTCCAAAGATGACTGCTTTCCCTATCTGTTTCTGCTATGATACTGGCTACCTGTTTTATGTCAAAATATACTCTAGAATTAGATCTTGGGTACCCTACAATTGAACATCTGTTCAATGCAGATAATAGTAGTATTTACTTCACAGGTTACTATAATAGGTTAAAAGACTTAACATAGCAAAAATACTAAGCATCAGAGTGTTCATCGTAAACATTCAGTACATTTAACCTGCTATTATTAACATCAACTTATTAATAACTCCTGGAATCATGACTTGGCTGATTATTCTGGACTTGTGCTTCCAGTTTGGTGATCAAACTAAAACGTGTAACCTGCTGGGCAGAGACATGAATGGGGTGATAATTCCTGTCCTCACAAGTTTTTTTTGAGCAGCATTTGATGGAAGACATGTACATTTAATCTCCTGGGACCCACCCAGTGGGCTACACTTACATGTGAGTTCCAGGTAGCATACTATTTCATTCAACTCAGTAGCTCACTGAGAAAGGCAGAACTGGCCCTTGTACTCTGACTTCACTTAGGAGCACAGTCACCCAGAGAGGTAAGTTACCACCTGATGTCACATAGTCAATGGTGTGAGCATCCGAGTCAGCCTCTTTTTTTTTTTTTTTTTTTTTTTTTTTTTGGCTAAGTCCACAGCTTTCTTAGCTATACTATATTTCCTCATGTGTCTTTTGGGATAATCCCCAGTACCGTCATAAGACAAAAAGTATTATGTAATATTAAATGTTGAAATATTATCCCATTTCTCCATATGAAGGGCAAAACTATTTATTGACCAAAAAATAAAGATAAAATTAAATTCATTCACATAGAACGTGCTGGACCCTAGAACACTACGACTCTGACACTGTTCTCTCAAAACCTCTGAAACCTCATACAGATGAGAGGACATTTTAAGGTAAACACAAGCCTTAGGATATGGGGTGAGGGAAGCCCTTAAGAATCCTACTATAGATACTGACTTACTCCTGAAATAGTTCTTTAGGTAAATATTTCACTGACAGGATAGTTCTTCTTTTCTTCAGATGCCTCTTGTGACACCTATTTTGTCTCAGAAAATTTATTTTGAATGATCAGATAATTTTGAGTTAAAGGGAAGTTTGGGGGTAATTTTGAACAATCCTGTTTTATTTTCAGTGGTGACTGAGGCTCAGTAAAGCTAAGCAATGTGCTCAATGTTGCACCATAAGGAAGCAGAAGTACATTGGTGGGACCTAGACCCCTTGACTCTTGGTTGAGTGTTCTTCCTTCTGTGAGCCTTACCCTTTATGTCCTGTGTCATGTTTTGCTACTGGCTGCAAATGACCATCCAAGTATTGCTTTCTCAGAGAGCTTTGAGCCTGAGACATTCAGTACATGCTACATGCAGATAAATCAAATGTCAGACCCACCTCTTCGGCCTGCCTAGTCTTTGTCTTTGTTGAGATCCAAGTTCTAGATTCCATCCTGACTTCCTTATATTTTTTCCTTTCCTCTGTGACTGGGTTTCTTCTACTATAGAGTGAGACTAATAAAGTTCGCCTTTATCTGCACTCAGAAAAGTATTTAATACAAGATCACTGCATGAAAGAAAATCAATATGTGGTGCAGATTAAATGGTAAAGGAACAAAAGCTCACGGAAGGAACACAAAAGAACCTTTTCTTCTGCCAACCAGCAGCGCTAACTGAGAGAAGCAGACAGTTCTGTATGATATTCTGTAAATAAGTCTGAGGCACAGACTAGTGAAAATCCCAGAGTGAATCTGTGCACAATGGAGACAGAGCTGATGATAGAAAATAGAAAAATGAGCAATGTGCAGAGCAGTCACTTCTTGTAGCATTGCACAGGGCTCAATCCTTTAGCTATATGAACTTGAGTTTGAATCTGGTCTCCAACTCCTGTGAACTTCTTGATGTTGGTCAAGTTGCAAAACTTCTCTGAGCCTCAGTTTATTTTCAATAAAAAATGAAAACTAATATTTACTTCAAAGAATTATGGTGGAGGTTGTAAATAATTCCTGGTGCTGAGCATGAGAAGTGAAGAAATGTTAACTATTATTATGACTATTATTATTATTATTATTACTGCTACTATCATCTTTATTGCCATCATCCTGGTCTAAGGTATCATCCTTTATCCTACCTGGAAAGGATCAGTAATCAGTGAAAACCCTCCACTCCTTATTTCTGCAAACAATTCATATTCTATCGCCTATTGGTTTGTAAACATGGTTCCACGTTCCTTTATCGAAAATCACAGGTTAGATGTGTTTTGAAATTCAGAATTTGGGGATTTTAGAGAAGACATACAAATGTGCTGTGTAGCACATGCTACACAGCAATCCCAGCATGTTTTGGAGCAATAGCCTATAATCAGTTATATTCAGTTTTGTGTCCAGGGTCCCCAAGACCACTTCCAGATCTGGTGATTTGTTAGGAAGACCCATGAGACTCAGCATATATTCATATTCCTTGCTATGATTTATTACCACAAAAGGATACAATGAAAAATCAGCAAAGGGAAACAGGTTAACACAGTGAAATCCAGAGGAAACTAGCAATAAGATTCCAGGAGCCCTGTCCCCGAGGAGTCACGCAGGATGCGCTTAATTTCTCTGGCAACAAGTTGTTGCAAGCCATGTGAAGTGTTGTCCGCCAGAGAAGGTCATTAGGGACTCAGTACTCTGTGTTTTTATTGGGGACTAGGCACATAAATACACTCTGCCTAGCATTTACCAAAACTCCAGACTCCCAGAAGAAAAACAAGTTTTCAGCATAAACCACATTGTATAAACTGTTTAGGGACAGTGAGTCCCTCTTATATCTTAAGGAATGGTAGGGACCCTCCTAAAATCTAAGTTCCCAGATGCCAGTCGAGGGCCAATCATGTAAGCAGGGCTTTCTAACAGTAGCAGTTTCAGGCCTGTTAGGTTAATTTTTGACACAACTTTCTATAGAAAAATATATGAATAATTATACGGAGAGGTATAAATGAAGACTAGAACTTGCCTCATGGCATGTTAGTTCAGGCTTTGCCACCAAACTAACTCAGATTGTGTCAATTATCCCTGTAAACTGTGTCATCAAATTCTTATGTTTTTTTCAGAGCTTGTTGTATTTCTGAATTGCAGATAAGGAATTACAGTTCTATTCTGTTTTGTCTCTCTTTCTTCTCTTTTTTTTTTTTTTTTTTTTTTTTTTTTTTGAGACGGAGTCTCGCTCTGTCGCCCAGGTCGGACTGCGGACTGCAGTGGCGCAATCTCGGCTCACTGCAAGCTCCGCTTCCCGGGTTCACGCCATTCTCCTGCCTCAGCCTCCCGAGTAGCTGGGACTACAGGCGCCTGCCACCGCGCCCGGCTAATTTTTTGTATTTTTAGTAGAGACGGGGTTTCACCTTGTTAGCCAGGATGGTCTCGATCTCCTGACCTCATGATCCACCCGCCTCGGCCTCCCAAAGTGCTGGGATTACAGGCGTGAGCCACCGCGCCCGGCCTCTTCTCTTGCTTCCTTCCTTTATTTTCTTCCTTTCTTCCTTCCTTTACCTTTGTTCAGTTTTATTCTTAAGTAAAATACAGAACAATAGCACAAAAATCAGGAGATGAGAAATAGAAAATTATTACAAAGCTTCTATACTTACATAAAGTGGTATAATATCACTTGAAGGTAGGCTGTGATAAGTTCAAGACACATTCTAGAAAAAGACTAAAATAAAACAAAGAGTATAGCTAATTAATCTAAAAGAAGACAAAATGGAATCATAAAAAAAATATACTCGGCTGAGAGCAGTGGCTCACGTCTGTAATCCCAGCACTTTGGGAGGCTGAGGTGGACGGATCACAAGGTCAGGAGTTCGAGACCAGCCTGGCCAATATGGTTTAACCCTGTCTCTACTAAAAATATAAAAATTAGCTGGGCATGGTGGCGGGCGCATGTAGTCCCAGCTACTCGGGACGCTGAGGCAGGAGAATTGCTTGAACCCAGGAGGCAGAGGTTGCAGTGCGCCAAGATCGCGCCACTGCACTCCAGCCTGGGTGACAGAGCGAGACCCCATCTCAAAAAATATATATATATACACACACACACACACATACACACACACTCAACTAATTCCAAAGAAGTTACAAAAAGAAGAAACGGAAACAAGGAACAGAGAGGACAAATAGGAAATAAGTAGAAAGATGATATATTGAAACCTAATAAAACCAATAATCACATTAAATATAAATTGTCAGAGACACCAATTAAAAATTAAAATGTAAAGTTGGATAAAAATGCAGGAGCTACCTACATGCTGCCTAAAAAAAAAACTTTATAAAGACACAAAAATATAAAAAGTATGGGCAAAAGACCCAGAATATTCAACATAATACTGAAGGAGAAGAACAAACTTAGAGGACTGACACTACCTGACTTCAAGACTTACTTTAAAGCTAGAGTAATTAAGACAGTGTGGTATTGTGAAAGAATAGAAAAATAGATCCATTGAACAGAAGAGAGAGGCCAGAAATAGACTCACATAAATATAACCCACTGATGATTGACAAAGGAACAATAATCCAATAAGCAAAGATCGTTTCTTTCAACAAGTGGCACCAGAACAACTGGACATCCAAATGCACAGAAACAAAAAAACAAACCAAAATGAACAGACAAAAACCCCCAAATTGAGATGCAGACCTAATACCCTTAACAAAAATTAACTCAAAGTAATCCACAGACCTAAATGCAGAATGCAAAATTATAAAACACCTCGATGACAACGTAGGAGAAAATGAAAATTACCTTTGGTTCAGAGAAAACTTTTTAGGTACGATGTCAAAGACACAATCCACGACAAAAAGTTGTTAAGCCGAATTTTATTAAAAGTAAAGATTTCGGCTCTGCAAAAGACATTGACAAGAGAATGAAAAGGTAAGCCACAGACTGGGGTAAAATATTTGCAAAAGACAAATCTGGTTAAAGGACAGTAATGTGAGAAAACATTTTAAATGGTCCACTTTCAAGGCATGATAAGTCTAAGTACTGGCAGCCAGCCTGCAAATGTAACAAATTGCATGGCTCATGAACCTAGAAGGTCACAGTAAGTGAATAGAATGTAGAGGAGGGGTCAGCCCATAAAAGGGAAGAAAGTTTCATTATTGGGAAATCAAAACTTAAGCGGGGACTGGGATGGCATATAACCTTATAAGGGAAATAATAAAACTTAGGTGACGTCTGGGAAGATTGTAACCCCATAGTACTTGACCAATAAGGAACTGGGGGAGGGACTTGCATGCTAGGAGATAAATTACCTGTTGTGACTGCCCAGGATGTGCCTGCCTATCAGACACCTGATCTTGCAAGACCGTTTGCTGTTCTTTGTGCCTCTAAGTCCATTCTTTGGGTTTGGATGGGTGAGTGTGTTTCTCACAAGTAATCCAAAATATGCAAAGAACTCTTAAAACTCAATAATACGACAACAAATACCTGATTAAAATATGGATCAAAGACCTTCACAGACAGCTCACCAAATAAGAAATACAGATGGTAAATAAGCATATGAAAGTATGTTCCATGTCATATGTCACCACAGAAATGAAAATCTGAAGAAGCTACATGCTGTATAATTCCAACTATATGACATTCTGGAAAAAGCAAAACCATGGAAACAGTAAAAGGATTGTAGTTTCCTGGAAATAGGGAAGAGGGAGAGATGAAGAGGTAGAGCATAGAGGATTTTTAGGGCACTGAAACTACTCTGTGTGATACTCTAACTGTATGCATTATACATTTGTCCAAATCCATAGAATGTATAGCTCCAAGACTAAATCCTAATGTAAACTATGGACTTTGAATGATAGTGATGCAACAATGTAGGCTCATCAGTTGTAACACATATGCCACTCTTGTGGAGGATGTAGATATTGTGGGGGTCTATGCATGTGTGGAGGCAAGGTCTACACAAAAATCCTCTGTACATTTTTCTCAGTTTTACTGTGAACCTAAAACTGCTCTTTAAAAATGAAGTCTTTTTAAAAAATAAATAAAAGGATGAAAGAGATATACCATGCTATCACTAAAAATAATTGTAATAGCTATATTAATATCCTACAAAGTAGATCTCAAACAAAGAATATTACTAGTGATAAATAAGTTAATTTCCTGATAATAAAAATGTCAACTAGTCAGGAGGACAAAAGAATCTGAAATGTGTATGTTCTGCATAAAATAACTTCAAAATTTATAAAACAAAATCTGCTAGAACTGTAAGGAAAAAGACAAAATCACAAAAATAGAGAGTTTTATATTTCTCCCAAAATAATTGGGAGAAATATAATATATTTACCAATAATATATCCCAATTATTTTTATTATTTATTATTTTTATTTTATTATATATATTTCCCAATAATATATCCCAACTATTTTGGGAGAAATATAAAATAGAATAAGTAGACTTTATGACTTTCCTAGGATATAGGAAAACTGAACAAATCTATAAACAAACTTGACTTTTTTGACATTATAGAATAACCCGTCTCCAAACACCAGAATATACATTTTTTGTACCATACACGGAACATTTACAAAGACAGACCATAATCTGAGAAAGAAAACAACCGTCAATAAATTTTAAATTATTCATATTGTGCAGTGTGTCTTTGGTAAATTGAGACTTAAATTAGAATTCAAAACCAGAATGATCTCTTGAAAACTCCTAAAATTTGGAATGTAAATAACAAACATCGCTACAATCAAGACATATTTATCATTCTGAAAAACTTTCATACGCCTTTTTGTAATCCCCTCCTTAATCGGAGTGATGGTTTCATTGGTACAGAAATATGTCAAACTTATTAAATTGGACACATATATACGTATATACATACATACACTTAATTATGTCAACTATAACTCAATTTTTTAAAAGTAAGAGTTACAACAAATACAAGTGGAGGATCCCTTTCTAATAACAACATATTTAAATGGGAGTCTGTCTCTTCAATGCACTTGAATCGATATTGATTTTAACGTTTACAATGGTCTGTAAAATAGTTCTTTGACAATTCCCTCTAAATTAGTCTAACTGAAACTGAATTCAACCAGTTAATAGGCTGGCTATTTTTTTTTATGTTTAGATTGAGTTAAATGGTTCTATCTGTGCAAATCTTCCCACTCTTCACTTAAAACCTCAAACACAATAAAAGCCCATCTATAGATACCACTGGGAAATGCGTCATTCAGTGAAGTAATTCCTACCACAAATCCCTGCAATTTGCATACACGCGGGCCCCTCTTTCCCCTGAGCTTCAGGCTGGGAGAAGCTGGTGTAAGAGACAGCCAGCCTGTTGCCAAACTCACTTTATTTGTTCGAGCATATTCCTTTAACACGGGACAGTCGGCTTCCTGTAGTATTTTTCCAAAAAGAAAGTAGGCGTGGCCCATTTTAAGCCTCCAAGAAAATAAACAAATAAATAATTGTTTTCATTTTCCTTTGTTCTTGATCCCTTCCCAAACTAATCTAAAAATGAGTTTTGTTTTATACGAAAAGATCGATGCATGCAGCGGTTTTTTTCCCCTTAAAATCTGGCATCTCTATAAAGAAAAACTGCCTATGTACAGACTGTGTAAGCGAAGAGAAAAAAAGAACTTAAAAAGAAAGAGATTGCCATTTTTAGTCCATTATACATGTATTTTAGAAAACACTTTCACCACCTGAATCCACGGAAGAGAGTCTGAGGTGTGACCCTTTTATTCTCAAAAAGAGAGCAGCAGAGGCCGGGCGCGGTGGCTCACGCCTGTAATCCCAGCACTTTGGGAGGCCAAGGCGGGCGGATCACAAGGTCAGGAGATCGAGACCATCCTGGCTAACACGGTGAAACCCCATCTCTACTAAAAATACAAAAAACTAGCCAGGCGTGGTGGCGGGCGCCTGTAGTCCCAGCTACTCGGGAGGCTGAGGCAGGAGAATGGCGTGAACTGGGGAGGCGGAGCTTGCAGTGAGCCGAGATCCCGCCACTGCACTCCAGCCTGGGTGACAGAGCGAGACTCCGTCTCAAAAAAAAAAAAAAAAAAGAAAGAAAAGAAGAGAAAAAGAAAAAGAGGGCAACAGAGACTTCTGCTAAACCTACCAATGACCACTAGAAGAGTCTGAAAGGCTGGGAGAGACTGAATCTCTCTGAGACCGAGCAGGGTCTCCTTAATTTCAAAACTTATACAGGCACTTTACATGATTGCAAAGGGGCCATGTATTATTTGCCCAGGAAATGCTCTTATGCTTTACAGGGTTTGCTACAGGAGGGGCGAGTAATGACTTAGCAGAACTTCTTCGTGAATTACTGGAAGCCAGCATGTTCCTCCTGCTCTGGCTTGTGCAGGAATAAACCACACACCACTTAACAGGGTTGGTGGTTTTTCTTGTCCTTTCCTGTTTGGAGAAGGACGTTGACAGTAGAGAAAGCCAAGGCACTGACTCATGAACAGTAGAGACTGTCAGCAGAGCAGAGAACGATACCCACCTTCTAAACTTCTCATCTCCATACTTCTGATGAAACAACCAAACAAGAGCCAAAATTACTCTTAAAAATTCTGAGAAATTATAGTGTGATGAAGGTTAACATGACCACTGATGTCATGTGGATATCACATAGCGCCTCCCCACAATATGACGCGACAATGAAGGCACTTCACCTATGTGATACTCTTCCAAAAACGTAGACTCCAGTCTAATCATAAGAAAAATGACAGACCAGCCCACATGGGGAGGTGTTCTACAGTATTCCTGGGCGGTACTTCTCAATACTGTTAAGGTAATGAACAATAAGGAAGACAGATAAACTGTCGCAGAGCAGAGGAGCCTGGGGAGCCATGCAAACTAAATGCAATGTGGTACCCTGGCCTGAATCCTGGAGCACAAAATAGATGCTAATGGAAACACTGATGAAATCCAATACAGCCCAGTGTTTGGCTAATAGTAAACACCAGCATCCGCTTCTTAGTTGTGACAAATGTACCATCGTATTTTACAATGGTAAAATATATCTAGGTTCCATGGGGGAAACTAGATGAAGGATATGCAGGAACTCTGTGTACTATCTTTGCAACTTTTCTGTCAATCTAAAATTAGGCTGAAATTTAAAAACATGATTTTAAAAGCTGAGAAATAATTCTGAGAAAGAATGTTTGTACCTTATTGCAACTTAAATGTCTAAAATGAAAATTTGATGCTCACAAGAATGATGTCTGAATAAATGAAATAAAGTTATCTAAGCAGATGATGTTCTAAATTATTGCCTCTGTGTTCTGAATTCCATTGTGTTCTTGCCCCTAGCCCCCAGCCCAAAGTCAAAAAGTTACTTGAAACTAACAAGTAACTATAGTTTAAAAAATTTTTTAAGTCTTTAGAAAAACATAAATGTGTACGTCTCTGCGACACGAAAGGCCATACAAGTGAAGAGATCACATTGGATATTTTTTTGTGCCCCTCTTGTGCAAACAGACATAGACATGGCACATGGCATATAATTATTATTGACACATCTGTCCCTGCCCTACATCTTGATTTCTTTGTGAGGAAGAAAAGTAGTCTTTGGAATCATTAGATATAAATACAAATAAATCCCAGCTCACCAAGTAATTATTAATTAATGTATTTTGTTTTGTTTTGTTTTGTTTTTTTGAGACAGAGTCTCGCTCTGTCGCCTAGGCTGGAGTGCAATGGTGTGATCTTGGCTCACTGCAACCTCCGCCTCCTGGGTTCTAGCCATTCTCCTGCCTCAGCCTCCTGAGTAGCTAGGACTACAGGCATGCACCACCATGCCTGGCTTTTTGTATTTTCAGTAGAGATGGGGATTCACCATGTTGGTCAGGCTGGTCTCAAACTCCTGACCTCAGTTGATCTGTCCGCCTTGGCCTCCGAAAGTGCTGGGATTAAAGGTGTGAGCCACTGCAACCGGCCTCCCCAAGTAATTATTAAGGTAACTCTAAACATTGCAACACATTTTTTTTAATTATTATACTTTAAGTTTTAGGGTACATGTGCACAGCGTGCAGGTTTGTTACATACGTATACATTGCCATGTTCGTGTGCTGCACCCATCAACTCGTCATTTAGTATTAGGTATCTCTCCCAATGCTATCCCTCCCTCCTCCCCTCACGCCACAACAGTCCCCGGTGTTTGATGTTCCCCATTCTGTGTCCACGTGTTCTCATTGTTCAATTCCCACCTATGAGTGAGAACATGCGGTGTTTGGTTTTTTTGTCCTTGTGATAGTTTGCTGAGAATGATGGTTTCCAGCTTCATCCATGTTCCTACAAAGGACATGAACTCATCATTTTATATGGCTGCATAGTATTCCATGGTGTATATGTGCCACATATTCTTAATCCAGTCTATCATTGTTGGACATTTGGCTTGGTTCCAAGTCTTTGCTATTGTGAATAGTGCCGCAATAAACATACGTGTGCATGTGTCTTTATAGCAGTATGACTTACAATCCTTTGGGTATATACCCAGTAATGGGATGGCTGGGTCAAATGGTATTTCTAGTTCTAGATCCCTGAGGAATCACCACACCGAATTCCACAATGGTTGAAGTAGTTTATAGTCCCACCAACAGTGTAAAAGTGTTCCTATTTCTCCACATCCTCTCCAGCACCTGTTGTTTCCTGACTTTTTAATGATTGCCATTCTAACTGGTGTGAGATGGTATCTCATTGTGGTTTTGATTTGCATTTCTCTGATGACCAGTGATGATGAGCATTTTTTCATGTGTTTTTTGGCTGCATAAATGTCTTCTTTTGAGAAGTGTCTGTTCATATCCTTCGCCCACTTGTTGATGGGATTGTTTGTTTTTTTCTTATAAATTTGTTTGAGTTCAAAGTAGATTCTGGATATTAGCCCTTTGTCAGATGAGTAGGTTGCAAAAATTTTCTTCCATTCTGTAGGTTGCCTGTTCACTCTGATGGTGGTTTCTTTTGCTATGTAGAAGCTCTTTAGTTGGATTAGATCCCATTTATCAATTTTGTCTTTTGTTGCCATTGCTTTTGGTGTTTTAGACATGAAGTCCTTGCCCATGCCTATGTCCTGAATGGTATTGCCTAGGTTTTCTTCTAGGGTTTTTATGGTTTTAGGTCTAACATGTAAGTCTTTAATCCATCTTGAATTAATTTTTGTATAAGGTGCAAGGAAGGGGTCCAGTTTCAGCTTTCCCCATATGGCTAGCCAGTTTTCCCAGCACCGTTTATTAAATAGGGAATCCTTTCCCCATTTCTTGTTTTTGTCAGGTTTGTCAAAGATGAGATAGTTGTAGATATGTGGCATTATTCCTGAGGGCTCCGTTCTGTTCCATTGGTCTATATCTCTGTTTTGGTACCAGTACCATGCTGTTTTGGTTACTGCAGCCTTGTAGTATAGTTTGAAGTCAAGTAGTGTGATGCCTCCAGCTTTGTTCTTTTGGCTTAGGATTGACTTGGCAATGCAGGCTCTTTTTTGGTTCCATATGAACTTTAAAGTAGTTTTTTCCAATTCTGTGAAGAAAGTCATTGGTAGCTTGATGGGGATGGCAATGAATCTATAAATTACCTTGGGCAGTATGGCCATTTTCATGATATTGATTCTTCCTACCCATGAGCATGGAATGTTCTTCCATTTGTTTGTATCCTCTTTTATTTCATTGAGCAGTGGTTTGTAGTTCTCCTTGAAGAGGTCCTTCACATCCCTTGTAAGTTGGATTCCTAGGTATTTTATTCTCTTTGAAGCAATTGTGAATGGGCGTTCATTCATGATTTGGCTCTCTGTCTGTTATTGGTGTATAAGAATGCTTGTGATTTTTGCACATTGATTTTGTATCCTGAGACTTTGCTGAAGTTGTTTATCAGCTTAAGGAGACTTTGGGCTGAGATGATGGGGTTTTCTAGATATACAATCACGTCATCTGCAAACAGGGACAATTTGACTTCCTCTTTTCCTAATTGAATGCCCTTTATTTCCTTCTCCTGCCTGATTGCCCTGGCCAGAACTTCCAACACTATGTTGAATAGGAGTGGTGAGAGAGGGCATCCCTGTCTTGTGCCAGTTTTCAAAGGGAATGCTTCCAGTTTTTGTCCATTCCATATGATATTGGCTGTGGGTTTGTCATAGATAGCTCTTATTATTTTGAGATACGTCCCATCAGTACCTAATTTATTAAGAGTTTTTAGCATGAAGTGTTGTTGAATTTTGTCAAAGGTCTTTTCTGCATCTATTGAGATAATCATGTGGTTTTCGTCTTTGGTTCTGTTTATATGCCGGATTATGTTTATTGATTTTCGTATGTTGAACCAGCCTTGCATCCCAGGGATGAAGCCCACTTGATCATGGTGGATAAGCCTTTTGATGTGTTGCTGTATTCAGTTTGCCAGTATTTTATTGAGGATTTTTGCATCAATGTTCATCAAAGATATTGGTCTAAAATTCTCTTTTTTGGTTGTGTCTCTGCTAGGCTTTGGTATCAGGATGATGCTGGCCTCATAAAATGAGTTAGGGAGGATTCCCTCTTTTCCTATTGATTGGAATAGTTTCAGAAGGAATGGTACCAGCTCCTCCTTGTACCTCTGGTAGAATTCGGCTGTGAATCCATCTGGTCCTGGACTTTTTTTGGTTGGTAAGCTATTAATTATTGCCCCAATTTCAGAGCCTGTTATTGGTCTATTCAGAGATTCAACTTCTTCCTGGTTTAGTCTTGGGAGAGTGTGTGTTGAGGAATTTATCCATTTCTTCTAGATTTTCTAGTTTATTTGCATAGAGGTGTTTATAGTAATCTCTGATGGTAGTTTGTATTTCTGTGGGATCGGTGGCGATATCCCCTTTATCATTTTTTATTGCGTCTATTTGATTCTTCTCTCTTTTCTTCTTTATTAGTCTTGCTAGCGCTCTATCAATTTTGTTGATCTTTTCAAAAAACCAGCTCCTGGATTCATTGATTTTTTGAAGGGGTTTTGTGTCTCTATTTCCTTCAGTTCTGCCTGATTTTAGTTATTTCTTGCCTTCTGCTAGCTTTTGAATGTGTTTGCTCTTGCTTCTCTAGTTCTTTTAATTGTGATGTTAGGGTGTCAATTTTAGATCTTTCCTGCTTTCTCTTGTGGGCATTTAGTGCTATAAATTTCCCTCTACACCCTGCTTTGAATGTGTCCCAGAGATTCTGGTATGTTGTGTCTTTGTTCTCGTTGGTTTCAAAGAACATCTTTATTTCTGCCTTCATTTTGTTATGTACCCAGTAGTCATTCAGGAGCAGGTTGTTCAGTTTCCATGTAGTTGAGCGGTTTTGAGTGAGTTTCTTAATCCTGAGTTCTAGTTTGATTGCACTGTGGTCTGACAGACAGTGCAACACATTTCTTAAAGCAGTATTTTTAATCATATAATTAGGTACTAGTCATATATCTTCCAGGGTGTCTCAGAGGATCTCATAGGGTTTAATAGGCATCCGGTACATGTTAATATCTTTTTGTTCTTAAGGTATTAAAAAATTTCATTTCCAGGGAAAACTATTGTCTATAGCACACTGGTCCAGATTATCTGACTCTAGCCTTTCATTATCTTTGAGCTATTTTATAACTTGGTAAATTTTAGATATGTAATAGCAAGGCAAAATGATTCTAGTCTATGGATATACCGATTAGTTATGTGCAGTGGAGAGACAGATCTCCCTCCATTGGAAAAGGCAGTTTTGCATCCATTTGCAAGTTCATTTCAAAATCCAGTTTCTCCATATGCATTTGTGTTTCTTTGACTTCCTCCCTTTGCATTGGTTGTAACATTTCAATGGTCCTCTCATTAATAACAAATTAAAATCTCTAACACATGTCCATTTTACATCTCTATGATAGCCATATTTTACTTCTTGAACATAAATATTATTTTATTCATTTTTGTACTTTCTATTCCTATCCTGATAATAA
Organism: Homo sapiens; assembly: GCF_000001405.40. Lineage (NCBI taxonomy): Eukaryota > Metazoa > Chordata > Mammalia > Primates > Hominidae > Homo > Homo sapiens. Next base: position 94,212,223 of record NC_000015.10, read on the forward strand.
GAGGTGTCGTAAATGTTAATCAAATAGAATTGATCCAGAATTTCAAATATGTCGGCAGTCAGAAGAAGTTAATCTTGCAATCTGTGAGATAAAATTCCGTAAAGACACTGGGCTGCCTATTGAAGATCTTAAATGAGCTGTAGAGAAGGAAAGAAAGTTGCAGGGTAAAGTCAGCAGCATCTTACTATGAAATGCAGCTGTGGCTTAAGCCATTAGGGGCTGAATCCAGCAGCACTGCCGGCCTCTCACTCAGGAGGAAATGCAGCTACTTCGTGGCTACACAGCCAGAAGCAATCTTTGCCACTTATAGAATGCTAAGGAGGCTCTAGGGGGAGGTGGTTTATCATCAGCAGCAGTAATCCTTAATATGTACGTGCAAACTCCCTGCAAATAGAGAGCACATACTATATTCAAAGGCCGATGTGGAATGCTGAAGATCACAGATTTTAGATTCAGACTATGCTAGGTTCAAATCCCAGCACATACTGGCTGCATGAACTTGGGACTGAGAGTTATTTGCTTGCCTAGGAAGCTGGGTCAAGCATACAGTATCATTCAATAAAACTAACCCTTACAATTATTGGCAATTTGAGGGAAAGTAATAAGGGTTCAAGAATTCTAAGGAAGTTCAAAAGGGAAGACAACATGTGTTTATTGCGGCACTATTCACAATAGCAAAGACTTGGAACCAACCCAAATGTCCAACAATGATAGACTGGATTAAGAATATGTGGCACATATACACCATGGAATACTATGCAGCCATAAAAAATGATGAGTTCATGTCCTTTGTAGGGACATAAATGAAGCTGGAAACCATCATTCTCAGCAAACTATTGCAAGGACAAAAAACCAAACACCACATGTTCTCACTCATAGGTGGGAATTGAACAATGAGAACACGTGGACACAGGAAGGGGAACATCACACACTGGGGACTATTGTGGGGTGGGGGGAGTAGGGAGGGGGGAGGGATAGCATTAGGAGATATACCTAATGCTAAATGACCAGTTAATGGGTGCCGCGCACCAACATGGCACATGTGTACGTATGTAACAAACCTGCACATTGTGCACATGTACCCTAAAACTTAAAGTGTAATTAAAAAAAAAAAGGAAGACAACATAGAATCTATTAAGTCAAGTTTCACTTGACTTAATATTCTAAAATTGCCCTCATTAGTCACAATTATAGTTTAATTATCATGTAGTTCCATTTCCTCGTTATACTACTGAAAAGCTGATGCCATTACAGGTCATTGAAGGGCTTCCCAAAGTGTAATGGTGAGTGCATGGTGAGGGCCATACTAGGACTCAATCCCCCACTATCTGATGTACAGTAGTGCTCTTTCTGAAATACTGCACCAAGTCCAGTTCTTAACTGAATGACAGCAGAAGAGCAACCTTCTTCAAACAGCCCATCAAGTCACTTTAAAGAAAGAAAGAAAAAACACAATGAAACATAGGGGGACAAGAGGATCTAGGCGCAATTATCATTGTACCTGAGACCAGGACTCTGGACCTGAGGCCTCTAGAATTTTGCACATGCTACTTAGACTATTTTTTATAAAACTTAAAACTAAGCAATGATACAAAATTATCATGTTCAACAAAGTGGGTGAAAAATGCAAATATAATCTCAGTTCATTCCAGAATTAAGACTGTAATTTTTTCACAAAATTATGGAAAAGAAAACTGACAACTGTATAAAAGTTAGCACACAACAACTCTTCTCTCAAGAAAAAGGCAAAATAATTGATAACCTTTTCTTTGGTTATTTGAGTGAACTTACTATTAAATGTGTATGTGTGTGTGCAAAAGAGGTACTAAGAAGGAAGTTTATAGCTGTAAGCCCCTATGTTTAAAAAAGTAGAAAAAATTCAGATAAACAAACTAATTAGGCAACTTAAAGAACTAGAAAAATAAAAGCAAACCAAACCCTAAATTAGTAGAAGAAAAGAAATAATAAAGATCAGAACACATATAAATGAAATTGAAACGAAGACTACAATAAAAAGATCAATGAAATGAAAAGTTGTTTTTTTGAAAAGATAAACAAATTGACAGACCTTTAACCAGACTAACATTAAAAATAAAGAAGATACAAATAAATAGAATTAGAGATGAAAAAAGAGACATTACAACTGATACTGCAGGTATTCAAAAGATTATTAGTGGCTACTATGAGCAAATATATGTCAATAAATTGGAAAATCTAGAAGAAACTGACAAATTCCTAGACACACAACCTACCAAGATTGAACCAGGAAGAAATTTACAACCTGAACAGACCAATAACAAGTAATGTGATTGAAGCCATAATAAATAGTTTCCCAGCAAAGAAAAGCCCAAGACCCAATGGCTTCACTACTGAATTCTAGCAAACACTTATAGAAGAATTAACACCAATGCTACTCAAAGTATTCTGAAAAATAGAGGAGGACAAATACTTTCAAATTCACTCTACGAGGCCAGTATTACCCTTTTACTGAAACCAGCAAAGGCAAACTACAGGCCAATATCTCTGATAAATATTGGTACAAAATTCCTTAACAAAATACTAGCAAACTGAATTCAACAACACATTAGAAAGATAATTTGGCTGGGTGTGGTGGTTCACGCCTATAATCCCAGCACTTTGGGAGGCCGACGCAGGAGGATCACAAGTTCAGGAGATGGAGACTATCTTGGCTAACACGGCGAAACCCCGTCTCTACTGAAAAATATAAAACATTAGGTTGGCGTGGTGGCACACGCCTGTAGTTCTAGCTACTTGGGAGGCTGAGGCAGGAGAATCGCTTGAATCCTGGAGGCGGAGTTTGCAATGAGCCGAGATTTCACCACTGCACTCCAGCCTGGTGAGACAGAGTGAGACTCCATCTCAAAAAAAAAGATAAAAAAAAGAAATTTATCATGACCAAGTGAGATTTATCCCAGGGATGCAAAAATAGTTCAACATACATAAATCAATCAATGGGATACATCATACAATGGAATGAAGGACAAAAAAAAATACAATCATTTCAACTGATACTGAGAAAGCATTTAATAAAATTCAACACTCCTTCACAATAAAAATTTTCAAACAACTTGGTATAGAAGGAACACACCTCAGCATATTAAAACCCATATATGACAAACCCACAGCTAGTATCATACTGAATGGGGAAAAACTGAAACATTTTCCTCTAAGATCTGAAACACGACAAGGATGCCCACTTTTCCCACTGTTATTCAACATAGTACTGGAAGTTCTAACTACAGCAATCAGACAAGAGAAAAAAATAAAGGGCATCCAAATTGGAAAGGAATAAGTCGAATTATCCTTGCTTGCAGATGATATGATCTCACACTAGAAAAACCCATACAATCTACAAAAAGTCTATTAGAGCTAATAAACAAGTTCAGTAAAATTGCAGGATACAAAATAAACGTGAAAATCAGTAGCATTTCTATATGCTAACAGTGAACAATGTGCAAAAGAAATAAAAAGTAATTCCATCTACAATAGCTAAAAATAACCTTAGATATGTAGGAATTAACCAGAGAAGTGAAAGTTCTCTACAATGAAAGCCCTAGAACACTGATGAAAGAAATTGAAGATGACACAAAAAATGGAAAGATATTCCATGTTTATGAATTGAAAGAATAAATATTGTTAAAATGTCCCTACTACCCAAAACAGTCTTTAGATGTAATGTAATCCCTGTAGAAACACCAATGACATTCTTCACAGAAATAGAAAAAAAATGCTAAAATTTACATGAAACCACAAAAGCCAAAAGCTATTTCTAGAATAACCAAAGCTATCTTAAGAAAAAAGAACAAAACTAAAGGAATCATATTACCTGACTTCAAATTATACTACAGAGGTATAGTAATCAAAAGAGTATGGTGCTGGCATTAAAACAGACACATAGACCAATGGAAGGGAATAGAGAACAAAGAAATAAATCCACATGTCTACAGTGAACTCATGTTCAATGAAGGTACCAAGAATGTACACTGGAAAACAGACAGTCTCTGCAGCAAATGATACTGGGAAAACTGAATATCCATATAAAAAATAATGAAGCTTGACCTTTATCTCTCTCATCATATAAAAATTTAAATCAAAATGGATTAAAGACTTACATCTAAATCCTCAAACTATGAAACTACAAAAGCAAGTTTGGGGAAACTTTCCAGGATATTGGAGTAAGCAAAGATTTTTTGAGTAATAACCCACAGTTATAGGCAACCAAAGCAAAAATGGACAAATGAGATCACATCAAGTTAAAAAGCTTCTGTACAGCAAAAGAAACAGTCAACAAAGTGAAGAAACAACCCACAGAATGGGAGAAAATACTTGCAAACTACCCCTCTGACAAGTGATTAATAACCAGGATATATAAGGAGCTCAACCAAATCTATAGGAAAAAAAAATCTAATAATCCAACTTAAAAATGGGCTAAGTATCTGAATAGACATTTCTCAAAAGAAGACACACAAATGGCAAACAGCTATATGAAAAGGTGTTCAACATTGATCATCAGAGAAATGCAAATGGAAACTACAATGAGATATCATCTCACTCCAGTTAAAATGGCTTTTACCCAAAAGACAGGCAATAGCAAATGCTGGCAAGGAATTGAAGAAAAGAGAACCCCTGTACACTGTTGGTGAGAATGTAAATTAGTACAACCACTATGAAGAACAGTTAGGAGGTTCCTCAAAAAACTAAAAATACAGCTACCATATGATACAGCAATCCCACTGCTAGGTATATACCCAAAAGAAAGGAAATCAGTATATTGGAGATATATCTATACTCCCATGTTTATTGCAGTACTATTCACAATAGCCAAGATTTGGAAGCCATCTGTCTATCAATGGATAAAGAAAATATGGTATATATATACAATGGAGTACTAGTCAGCCATTAAAAAAATGAGATCCTGTCATTAGCAACTATGTGGATGGAACTGGAGGTCATTATGTTAAGCCAGGCAGAGAAAGACAAACTTCACATGTTCTCACTGATTTGTGGGAGCGAAAAATTAAAATAATTGAACTCATGGAGATAGAGAGTAGAATGATGGTTACCAGAGGCTGGGAAGGGTAGCAGGGGAGTGGGATGGAATTAGGGACAGTTAATGAGTACAAAAAAGTAGTCAGAAAGAATGAATAAGATCTAGTTTTGATAGCACAATGAGGTGATTATACTCAATAATTATTTAATTGTACATTTTAAAATAACTAAAAGAGTATAGTATAGTTGGATTATTTTTAATACAAAGGATAAAGGCTTGAGGTCATGGATACCCCCATTTACCCTGATGTGATTATTACACGTTGCATGCCTGTATCAAAGTATCTCATGTACCTCATGAATATATATACCTACTATGCACTCACAAAAATTTAAAAAATTAAAAAAAGAAACAGAAGATAATCAACTCTTATGACCTCACACCTGATTTTAAAAAGTCCAAGAAAATACTTGATTAAAAGTGTGCATAAAAGACAAGGATTCCTGCTGTCACCACTCCTATTCAACATAATATTGGAAGTTCTGACCAGGGCAATCAGGCAAGAGAAAGAAATAAAGCATATTCACATAGGAGGAGAGGAAGTCAAATTGTTTCTGTTTGCAGATGACATGATTGTATATTTAGAAAACCCCGTTGTCTCAGCCCAAAAACTCCTTAAGCTGATAAGCAACTTCAGCAAAGTCTCAAGATACAAAATGAATGTGCAAAAATCACAAACATTCCTAAAAAACCAACAATAGACAAGCAGACAGCCAAATAATGAGTGAACTCCCATTCACAATTGCTACGAAGAGAATAAAATATCTAGGAACACAACTTACAAGGGATGTGAAGGACCTCTTCAAGGAGAACTACAAACCACTGCTCAAGAAAATAAGAGAGGACATGAACAAATGGAAAAAAATTCCATGCTTATGGATAGGAAGAATCAATATTGTGAAAATGGCTATACTGCCCAAAGCAATTTATAGATTCAATGCTGTTCCCATCAAGCTACCATTGACTTTCTTTACAGAATTAGAAAAAACTAATTTAAACTGGATGAACTGATGGAACCAAAAAAGAGCCTATATAGCCAAGACAATCTTAAGCAAAAATAACAAAGCTGGAGGCATCATGCTACCTGACTTCAAACTATACTACAAGGCTACAGTAACAAAAACAGCATGGTAATGGTACCAAAACAGACATATAGACCAATGGAACAGAACAGAGACCTCAGAAAGAACACCACACATCTACAACCATGTGATCTTCAACATGACAAAAACAAGCAATGGGGAAAAAATTCCCTATTTAATGAATGATGCTGGGAAAACTGGCTAGTCATAGGCAGAAAGCAGAAACTGGACCCCTTCCTTACACCTTATACAAAAATTAACTCAAGATGGGTTAAAGACTTAAATGCAAAACCTAAAACCATAAAAACCCTAGAAGAAAACCTAGGCAAAACAATTCAGGACATAGGCATGGGCAAAGACTTCATGACTGAAACGCCAAAAGTAATTGCAACAAAAGCCAAAATTGACAAATGGGTTCTAATCCAACTAAAGAGCTTCTGCACAGCAAATGAAACTGTCATCAGAGTGAACAGGCAACCTACAGAATGGGAGAAAATTTTTGCAATCATCTACCCATCTGACAAAGGTCTAATATCCAAAATCTACAAGGAACTTTATGAGAAAAAAACAAACAACCTCATCAAAAAGTGGGCAAAGGATATGAACAGACACTTCTCAAAGGAAGACTTTTATGAGGCCAAAAAACATGAAAAAAGCTCATCATTGCTGGTCATTAGAAAAATGCAAATCAAAACCACAATGAGATACCATCTCACACCAGTTAGAATGGCAATTATTAAAAAGTCAGGAAACAACAGATGCTGGTGAAGCTGTGGAGAAACAGGAATCCTTTTACACTGTTGGTGGGAGTGTAAGTTAGTTCAACCATTGTGGAAGACAGAATGGTGATTTCTCAAGGATCTAGAACCAGAAATACCATTTGACCCAGCAATCCTATTACTGGGTATATACTCGAAGGATTATAAATCATTCTACTATAAAGACACATGCACAAATATATTTACATTACCAGCACTATTTACAATAACAAAGACTTGGAACCAACCCAAATGCCCATCAATGTTAGACTGAATAAAGAAAATGTGGTGTGTATACACCATGGAATACTATGCAGCCATAAAAAAGAATGAGTTCATGTCCCTTGCAGGGACATGGATAAAGCTGGAAACCATCATTCTCAGCAAACTAACACAGGAACAGAAAACCAAACACCACATGTTCTCACTCATAAGTGGGAGTTAAACCACGAGAACACATGGACACAGGGAGGGGAACATCACACACCAGGGCCTGTCGGGGGGTGGGGTCAAGGGGAGGGAGAGCATTAGGACAAATATCTAATGCATGTGGGCCTTAAAACCTAGATGACAGGTTGATAGGTGCAGCAAACCACCATGGCACATATATATGATCATGCCACTGCACTCCAGCCTGGGCGACAAAGCAACTCTGTCAAAAAAAAAATAAAAAATAAAAAATAAAAAAATAAAAGCCTGCACATTCTGCACATGTATCCCAGAACTTAAAGTAAAATTTATAAAAAAGTGTGCATAGTAATTTCATTCATAACATCCCCAAAATGAACACAACCAAGTGTTCGTCAATCAAACAGATAAACAAACTGTGATATAGTCATACAATAAACTATCACTTGGCAAAAATTACAAACTACTGATACACACAGCAAAATGAATGAATCTCAATAACATTAAATGATGTGAAAAAAAGAAAACCTTACACAAAAGAGTACACTTATTTGAAATTCCAGAACAGGCAAAACTAATCCTGAAATAAAAAGTGAGAAGTGAGGCCGCTGTGTGTTTGTGTGAATATGTGTGTATGGAGGGGAATTGCCAGGGTAACGGATTTAAAGTAACTTTGGGGGGTGAAGATAATGTCCTGTATCTTGATACTATAAGTACATTATTTCATCAAAACAGTGACTTTACACTGACGATCATGCGAATGTATATAACATTTACACTGAAAGAAAAATACTGAACTGTAGTTAATACTACACATGCAGTGTGTATGTGTGTATAATAATGTCTGCAGTTTACTTTTCAATCTTTCAAAATTAAACAGATTGGCCGATGGATAGAGGGCTAGATGGTTGAATAGGCATGCAACAAAATGTGTAGTAGAATCTAGGTGGTGGATATACAGGTTTGCATGGTAAGTCTTCCATGTTTGCTGTATGTTTGAGATTTTCTTCATAATAAAATGCTGAAAAAACCTCAATAATGGAGACAAGGGTTACTTACATGCATGAACTTTATCATCATCATCACCATTATAATCACTACCACATCCACCAGTTAAATTTCTTGAGAATCTGACTTGGCTTAGACATACTCAAAATATGTATTATCCTCACACTAATCCTTTGATGTAGACACTCTTTCCAAGTCACATATAAGGGATGTTAAACTGCTTAAGGTCATCCTCAGTGAATAAGTAGCTTGAGCACATACACTATACGAAGTAGGTTCTGTTAGTTTATTTACTTGTTATTGCTTAAGTTCTCAACATGACCCATTGTTGGCCAAAAAGCAAACAAAGCCTAGTATAAGTTTCTAGACACTCAAATTTTTAACACTGTTGTTCAGATGATAGAATACATTAGGTAAGTAGAAAAAGAAATGATCAGCCAAAGCTTAAACAGTGATTCCATTAAAATATATAGATAAATTAGGAAAGAGAGCTAATTTGAAATGGAAATTTACATGGCTGATTTTGTTTATGCTGCAGGTGGTTCTAGAAGTGATAAGGTCCTATTATATAATAGGAGACACTGAGCTGGATTTGGAATGAACAGGAACACGGTCAGTCAAAGACAACTTGCAGGTAAGGAAGTTACTCCTCTGAGCATAGTAATAGAGAACCTGCCACTTTTGAGAAACCCTTTGATGCTGTTGTTGTACTTTTTTCCACTTACAAATGAAAGATGCGTAAGAGTGCTTTGGATCATGAGCTATGTCTTTGATTATTTGCCAGTTACCTTGAAAGATAAAGTTGCTCAGTGACTTTATGCTTGGTAGCCTCATTTCCAAATTACTTCAGGTTATATTAATCTAGAATGCAATGAGATCTTGTCCAAGTGTTTTAAGGAAAAATCAGTTCATCCTTGGCATATTTCAAAGAGAATGAGGAGCAGTGTCTTGACAGAGAATTTTTGCTTGGTATCATTGAGACCAGGAAATCTGCCTGGTTGATATTTAAAAAACTGGTCAATATTGAGAGTGGTGATCCCTGTGTGCAGTCTTGAGTTATTACTTCTTTTGCAAAGATACTATTTAGCATTGAGGAAAAGATTTATAAAATTTAGGTGCTAGATCTATAAAGGCTTACTCTTAATGGAAGTATGGAAGTAGACAGTTTCCCATAATAAAACTGCATAGGCTTTCTAAGATGCTGCTGCTTTGCTTTTGGCTGGAATTGGATCAACACAGACGTTATAGCCATCAGACCCCTGACTGAGTATTTGTGGCATTATAAGAATTTTGGGGCTGGACCAACTTATCTGAGCTGCCAGTAAGATATTCAAGGTAACCAAATTGAAAATAATAATAGTAATACAGTAAATTTCTTGAATAAAATACAAAGAATCTTTGATTTGGTCTAATCTCTTCAGGAAATTGCCTGGAAAATGCCACTATAATTTTCTGAAGAGCCAAGTTATGAACTCAGATATTCTGACTCCTAGTACCTGTCTCTGTCAGCTATAAAAAGTTTAGTCAAGTCTCTTCTCTCACGAAGAATAAATGTCATACAGGTCTCTGGGAGGCTAAATGTTTGAAATTGAGCCAAATGTCTATAGGATTAGACTTCAGCTACTGACCATGATGGACTAAAAGGGGCTGAATTTGTCTTCCTACATTTAACAACAACAACAACCAACCCAAACATATAAAACAATAGCATTTTCAGGTATTAAACAACAGACAATGCAGTACTGTGAAGTTTAAGAATAGGGAAATAAATGAAATGAGTCCTACAGTATCTTCAGCTGACTGTAAAGTTTCCAGGGCACGGCTCAGGAATAGGAACATCCAGAAAATCCTGGTGGCTTTTCTGAGTTGAGGAGAGATTAGAAAGGCCAACGTGGCCATCATTTGTGGGAGAGAGTATAGAGAGGAAACATCTGCCGCCCTCCCCAGAGAGACAGAAAGAGCTCTATCAACAAAGAATTTCTCTCAATGTTTAGCTTAATACCAACTAGCTAATGTATTTCAGGTAACCACCCGAAAGAAGCAGGTGGAACAATCCTTGAGGTTCATACAGGGCTAAGAATAGTTCAAGTTCCCATAAGGCAGTAAGGAAAGAGCTAACACATGCAGTAGAATCCTCAAAAGTTATAACCTGGACTAAAGATTGTTCTGGATCCACCCAACCAAGTTTAAAAACAAGTCTCAAGAAAATCAAATTATTTCCAAGTAACTTACCTACATTCAAGAAAAAAAAATCCCCCTAATATTTAAAGAAATAATATTTCTAAAAAATTTTACATCTAATAAAATTCACATTGTATGACACTTAATCAAAATTTACTAGGCATGTAGAGAAGAAAAAGACCCATTACAAGTAGGAAAAAAATCAATCTAAAGAAACCCAGAAATAAAAATAAAACTGATAATAGAATTAGTAGACAAAGAGGATAAAACAGTATTATCAATGTATTCTCTACTTTCAGCAGAGGAAAATATAAACATAAGAAGGAGAAAAATAAAAGCTATAAAGCTATATAAAAGATACAAGTAAAAATCCTAAAAAGGAAAAATACAAGGTCTGAGATGAAAAATGTATTGGATTAGCAGAGATAAGGCATTACAGAAAAAAAATTAATCAACTTGAACACATAGAAACTATCCAAAAATGAAACACACAGAGAAAAGAAGCTTGAGGAAAAGAAAAAAAATGAACAAAGTATTATTGAACAGTAGGGCAATGTCAAATGGCCTAACCTATCTGTAACAGGCACCCAAAAATAGAAAAAGCAGGGTGAGGTGGGGACATAAAAATTTTGAAGAAATAATGGCTAAAACATTTTTCATCAAATTTTGAAAACTATAAACACATAGATTCGAGAAACTCAACAAACTCTAAACAGTTTTTTTTTATCAGACATTTATTACATATCTGTTGTGCTAATTAGGTGTCATTGGCGGTTTCTAAATTGGCCCCCATTGATTGCATCCTCCTGATGTTCACGCCCTTATGCAGTTCCCTTTCACTGCATTTTTGATGAACTTATTGATTTATATCTAGTGAATAAAATACAGCAGAAGTTATAGGACGTCATTTCCAAGATTATGTTATAAAATGATGGTAGCTTACATCTTGGTCTCTCTCTCTTGCAATTTCTCTCTCTTTCATTACTCGTTGCCATAATATGAGGACACATAACATGAGGCCACCTATGTAGAGGTCCATTTGTCAAGGAACTGAGTGAGTTCTACCAACAACCATATGAGTGAGATTTGAAGCTGACACTCTGGACCCAGGTGCCATTGAGATGATTGCAGCCCTGGTGGACAACTTGACTGTGACCTCATGGGAGGTCCCTGAGTCAGAAGCACCCATCTAAGCCAGAGCTGTCCCACCAAAACTCAGATAATAAATGCTTGTTGATTTAAACAGCTAAGTTTTGGGGTTATTTGTTTCACAACACTAGATAACTAATATGTTGACAAGTGTGTGAAATCAGAAAGCTTGCATTCTGCCTAGACTGTCTAGCAGAGTATTCCAGAAATATTTGTGAAACAAATGTTCGAAAGATAAGACAGATATTCCAAATAAGTATTCTATAAAGACAGAAGCAGTTGTTCTTGAGTGAAGCATTTTAAAACTGGTAATATTGCTATGGGGATTCTTTTTTTATTTTTTTTTATTTTTTTGAGATGGAGTCTTGCTCTGTCGCCCAGGCTGGAGTGCAGTGGCATGATCTCGGCTCACTGCAACCTCTGTTTCCTGGGTTCAGGCAATTCTCTGGCTCAGCCTCCTGAGTAGCTGGGGTTACAGGCGCCCACCAACACGCTAGGCTAATTTTTGTATTTTTAGTAGAGATGGGGTTTCACCATCTCGGCCAGGTTGGTCTTGAACTCCTGACCTTATGATCCACCTGCCTCGGTGTCCCAAAATGCTGGGATTACAGGTGTGAGCCACCACATCTGGCCACTATGGGGATTACTGAGAGAGAGAGAGATCTTTTCTGGTTGAGGAATGAGGGGATTCTTTCTGGAGGAGACAGTAATTTATGCGGGCTTTGGAGGAGATAGAATTTGGACACATGTTACTGACAATTAATCTAGCCGGATACTTGAAAATGAAAGAATAAATGGGGTGATAGGAAAGGTGGTAAATCAAAGGCTATGTATAGGAAGCCATGAGCAGAAGGCAAGGTGAGAAAAGAACAAAGACATTAATGGGGAATAAAAAGCATATTTTCTGCAGATATAATTGCAAATTTTATTTTGAGAGCTCATGTTAGGTAGATGGTACATATTAAAACAAAACACTAATTCTTGCAAATAACTCTTTTTAATGTTATACTCTTCTTAATAACAATAGGCATATGCATTCACCTGAGTTGCACTTATAGGAATGAGCTAAAGAGTTTTTATATTTTCTCAGAGAATAATATAGTGGGATAAGGTACAATGGTAGTTCATTAAGCAGAGTATTGCTGTATTTCAAAAAACTGCAGTGACAGCCACACCTTGAGGAAAGTGTGATTCCAAAGAAAAAAATCAATTTTCTTGTCTGACTTACATTACAACTATAGATAGTACAAACTTTGATTATATTGGGCTCATTATCATCATTACTTATATAATCAGACCGTTCTTTTTGACTTGTCTACCTTATTTATCTTCACACTTTCTGGTCTTCTTGTCCTGATGGTCCATAGTAGTTTTGTCTTGCCAATTTAAATTCCAGCTTGCTTCCCCCCACTGTTCATTGATCACTTGATTTTCCATTTTTAATTTCCACCCTTCTGACTTCCAGTCACACTTTTCATGGTGCTGCTAATTCTGCCTTTTATTCGCCTGCCATGTTTCATCATTAAGTGACCATGGAAGTTTCTATCTTGCAGAGGACACGAGCCTCCCTGAGCACATCTTGCTAAAATGTGCACTTTAGAACTACCTAGAACATGGGCAGCCAGCAGGATAATGTGTCCACATGCATTTTAAATGTGGATCTCTGAGCCTACTCCTTGTTACTTTACTTCCAGCTCTCAAAGAAATATTGCTTAACAAAATTGTATTTCAGTGATGTACTAAAATACGAATAATATGTTCAGGTGCAACAATATGATGTTGGGATTTGGTTGGTTCTCAAGAGAAGTGATTGGTTTTCATTGCTGGAGAAGATAGTCTTTCAGAAACGAGGCATTACAGACACAAAACTTAACAGAGACCCAGAATAGTTTAATCTGCTGTATGAACACATAGCCAGGATTCTGTTCATAGTTTTGTGGATTCCTTGAGCATATTTTGCCAATGAATGTGTATGAAAGCAGTACACATAGTTTGAAATATAAAGCCAGGGTTTTCAGATGAGAGGTGCTGGAATAGAACTACATTTTGCAAAGTAATGAAGTAGGGCTCACTTTCACCAAAAACCATCAGGGATAAGGAGGCAGGTCACAGCCCACACTGAAGGTGGATGCAAAGGTCACTGTAGAAAGTTCTAAACTACAACTGAGAAGATGTCTGATATTAACAAATGAAGCTACTCCTTTCCCTTTAAAATATCTAAAATATATTTTTGTGCTGACTGAATTAGGTTTTCCTTATTCTTCTCCATTTTAAAGTCAGCTGAATAGAAGTTCAACCTAATCAAAGTTTACTTTTTAAAAGAACAAGCCCTTTAGAGAATGTGTAATTTTTCATTATAGTTGGGTATTTCTCAGTAGGAAAAATGAAAAACTTTAGCACATACTGGAAATTAAGAAATTAAGAAATTAACTTAGTCTTAAGGTCAGATTACTTACTGTCTTATTTTCTACTTTGGATTTTTTCAGGAAGTGGCAACAATTGTCACTACAAAGACGTGCCTAAAAAAAAATCAGTAAAGCAGGCAGGTGCCTACCAGGTTGGTTTGCAAATGTCCTTATGCACTTAATAAGACCTTGTCTATTTCCTGACTACTTTTCAATCCATTAATTAGTGATGTTGTACTTTCTTTGTAGGTTATCATTAGAGGCAGTAATGGGAGACTGGATGAATGAAAACTTATGCAAATTATACATCCCAACCAGTCACAAAGACAGACTGGAGACGTCAAGTCCAAAATTTGTTAATGTCCTCAGCCATAGACATAGTTATTATTTCTCCACATTTGTCTATATTTTGATTTTCTGATTAAGATTATGGAAATACTGCTAGATGGCTGGCTTCATTTATTGAACTGATCTTTGTCTGCCAGTTGAGTCTGTACTTATCTCAATTGTGTAAGCCAGGTTTCACCCATGAAGACTCCCTTTTTTCATCACTTGGGACTGACTGGGGTCCCGGTTTCTGCTGATTCTCTGGTGTATTTTCTACCTGGTTTTTTACACCACTTGCTGGGCTCTGCAGGTGCTACTATCAAGGCCTCTTCACTCTGACACTCTATTGTGTTTATCTGTTTACACATCTAGCGAAAATGTGAGCCATTGGAGGGCAGAAGCTATCATATTTGTGTTATATCCACAGAGTTTATCACAGAGCTTAATATATGGATCAGGGGATTCAAACTGGTTGCCAGGCTTTCGGCCACCTGTATTTTTTAGCCAGCACAGGGTTAACAATAAGTAAATTTGAATGTCTTTAGGTGGGCCTACTCTCTGCTATTTGCCACAGTCTCTATCTTCTTATATGTGACCACAGTCAATCTCTATTTCACCAGTCTCACCCATGTAGGCACCCTAGTTTGTGGTCCTGGTTGTAGATGATGAATACATGCTAATTATGTGAATGAATACATCAATGAATGTACTTCTTATTTTGCATGGAGAATTGATTGTTATCTAAATATTCTTGTCCTGAAAATTCCCCTAGTTTCATCTCTCATTTTGGAAAATACAGGTAGAAAAACAGATAACTGTAATGTGCAATGCACAAATAAGCATTTCTGAATACTTGCCAGAGGTGAGCCACTCTGTGCATTCTAGTGGCTCAATTAGAGAGGAAAACAAATTCAACTGTGTTATTTGCAGAACCCATAAGATGCAAACAAACCATTTGTTGTGGAAAAGCTCAAGATTTTTGTATCTGAGATGAGTGATAACTTCTACCTTGGATCATCTTAAAACAGGCAGTGTAATTTTAAAAAACAATGACCCCGACCAACATGCCAAATGTATGTTCAACAACGTATTTCCCAAGGTAGATTCTTAAGATACCCCCCACTATTGCCAATGACAACACACTAGAGAACAATTCAATAAATGTGATTTGGGGCCACAGAAATTCTCTACAGTATGAACCTCTCCCCTGGCCTAGGGGAAGTTTTAAGCAATTAACTGAATGAAATTCAGATCGTCAGACAAAAATGTTGGTACTGAGATAGTAATCTTGGGCAAAGTTAACCTTCATCTGAAGAAGTAAATTTGGTTCTTCTTTACCCATCTAATGAATGGCAGACTCAGTCTCTTAAGAGTTAACTCCAAGCCTCTAATAATTTTAACTTTTCAGAAGCAACCACTACCAGATGTTCATTTTGGCCATAAAAGTTCCCACCCAATAAAGGTACAACATCCATAAAAGTCGATCTTTGAACAACTTACTACCTGTGAACATTTCCAGCTAATCAGCTTGTGTTAAATACATGTTTAGGTATTTGAAAGAAAAGAACTTGATACATAGAATCATCATTAGGACAATTCAATGCTGATGTTGATTTCCAAAGAGATTTTATAAGAAGTCTTTCTGAATAATTAGAGAATAGGACTCATTTTCTGTTAGGTCCATTCTTTTGTTCAAGAAAGTGAAGCCTACAGGATAAACTCGTAACTAGTAAGTGGCAGAGCTAGGTCTGGAGTGAGTCACTAAATTTGGTCTCTCCACACCTGCCTATAAAAAGGGGATAACATGATAATTATACCAAAGGAAAAAAAATCCTGAGTACATATAATAACAAAGACTATTTGCACTAACAATAAAAGAAGTACCATTTCTCAACGCCACGTAACAGAGTGCATATTCTTCCTTAAAGCACACACTAAAATAAACATTTGTTACTTGGACAATAGACTGAAGTTTGCTTTAACCATTATATTCGTTTTAACCCCTGGTAGATCTAAATTGACATGTTTATGTCTCAGTCATTTTTCTACTTCTGCTCTTATCGGCCCAGAAATGATGAGAAGCACCAACGAAGGAAAATGTGAGGGAAGCTAGGTGCCAAGCCCTTACATTACTGCTAGCAGATCTCAGACAGCTTTCTCTTTGACATAAAGGGACTTGTCCCAGCAAGATTAGCTCTGTGTCCTCCAAATGGAGCCAGACTGTGTTGACTGCATGGCCAACTCTGATAGGATGACCCAAGGAGGCTCCCACTGAGCAGAGAAGATATGGAACTCTAGATCCTATGCATTTACAGACAGGGTCTTGTCTTCTTTAGAGAAGACTGCTTTAACCCTCATTGTCAAAGACTCTGGGTGGCTACAGCAATTTTCATTTGTTTCATTTGAAATACTCTGGCTCATTCAAAAAGGCACAGGGACGTGGCTAGATAACTGCACTAATTGTTATCTAGCCTTTGTATGCACTTAACCGTGCTTCTGCATGTATGACAGGCAGTATAGCCATGATAGCCAAGGAGTACACTGGGCCTTCAGAAGACACATCTTCCATTTACAATTTAAAAGAAGAGGTGCCAATATTAGATTGTCATGCAACCAAACATACATTGTCTAAGATATAAAAGCAATTGTATCTGAAAGTGGGAAATCTCCACCTCAATTATCACATTGACAATAGGGGCATTTCTTCAGAGGCCAAATATCTGGTTGCTCAGAAGAGAGAGAAAGCTGCCTATGATACGTGCAGGAGATTTTATTTTTTTTTAAGTATAATTATGACATCACTGACCAGTGCCTATAATGTAAGACCTGGTTCAAAATCTGTTTAGAGAAATTCAATATAACAAAAGTGTGTTAAAAATTTATCAGCTACATGTATGAGTCCAGTTGCCATTCTAAATGCTGGTGTGGTTATGTAGTAAAGTTAAATTGGTATAAGCAACAATATTATTCCCTGGAAGGGACATTTCCTGGGTGGAACATAGAAAAGGAGACAGGTAATATGTTTGAACAATTAAAAACAAAAAACCCAGGAAGCTGGGCAGATGAGTGTATTGTGGTGGGAAGGGCAAGTTGTGACCTTAGATTTCTGTATCTTTAGTTGTTTCACTTTCTATACCATTTAATGATTGAAAAATGCGGTTGGACTGCCGGAACCACAGAACAGGAACTCCACTGGGGCAGGAGTTAAAGGCAAAAAAGCTTTTGTGTGGGTTCACTTACTATTTTAATTCATTTGTATTCTTAGTCAGCTTTAAAGGTATGATTGCTTCGTCTGCCTACTGCTCTTTCTCTTCTTCCTTTCATGCTGTTTTACCCTTACCTCTCTCTGTTCTCTGCTAGGGGATGTAACCTTCGGCACGGTGGGAAAAGCCAATTTTGCCATAGGCCTCAGCTTGCTCTGACTCGGCTACTAACTTGACTCATAGCTTCAGGCAGGTTATTTCATGGTTCTGATGCTCATTTTCCTCATCTTGAATCAGAGATTTTATTAACTGTCTCCTGGTTTGTGAAAATTCAATATGATCACGTGTTACATGCCAATCACAGAAACTGGTGCGAAGTTGTGTTCCTCAGTGGTAGCTATTGTTGTAAGTCGGAATTGCATGACAGTGGCAGCTGTTTTCTATCACGTCCTCATGTTTTCTAAATTTTTATGCCCCTTCCTCCCATTTCCTACCTTAGTATTGTTAATAGCTAACTTTTATTAAGTGGTTACCATGGCCCAGGACACTGTAATGAGGATTTTATGTGAATTACCTAATTAATTTCTCAGAAAGTATGAGATAGCTATTATTTTAAGCTATTTAAGCTATTTTAAGCTATTTAAACAACCAGTTTGTTGAAGTTAAAATTTAGAGAGGTTAAGTGAACTCGTCCATTTACACAATTAGTTGCCCAGGCAGAATTTGATTTGAGGTCTGACTCCAAAGCCGGAGCTCTTAATCACCAGTGACACCAACTAAACGCTTCATTTCAGAGCTCGCCTATTCCCAGAGGTCCCATTCCCGTTTTAAGGTTATTTTCTGTAACTCTCTTGTATCTAATTTAAAAATGCTATTTCCCAGAGATGAGTCCCTGATCTCCCAGAAGGCATGGATCATACATTTCTTTTCCTAATCCACCCAAATTCCTAGAGCGCACAGACTTAGGCTCGTTCATAGACGGGAAAAGAAACTGACCAGGCAGTGAAACCGAGCAAACAAAGTGCAATAAGACAATTACAGCAGGAAAGCGGCGTAAAAAAAAGTAGAAAAAGAAAGTAAGGGAAAGGGGAAATAAATAGCAAATATTCGCTGAGTGCCAACAATCGCACGGGAGGGTCTTTAGGGTTCTCTGCCGAGTACTCGGGACGGCTTGCTGAGCAGTACGCCGGCCTTATCTCATAGATGAGGCACCAAGGCTCAGGAAACAGTTCTGTGGATCTGGGCGGGCATCTTCCACCCACAGTCGCGCACACGTGGCATAGGTTAATAGGCTGTCTGGCTCGGGTACCTCTTCCCAGGGTCAGGGCGTTACAAAGGGAGGCTGCTGTCTTCCCATGAATCTATTAGGGACCTACAGGAGCGAAGAGAACCCTTCTGAGTATCAGCGAAGACAGCTTATTAAGACTTTACGAGTTTGCAAGCCATCCTCGTCCTATTTCCTCACTTCGGACTTTTTGGACACACCTTCCTTTTCCTGTGAGCCAACCCAAACGAATGAGTTACAAGTAATCGCCTTCTCTACGCCCAGCCAGTGCCCAGCACCAAGCATAGCGCCTCCTTGCAACACCCGGCCGAGCTCCCGGCGGCAGCGCGGGCGCTTGGGTCGGAGGCTGCTCAAAGGTGACGCGCGGCCGCCTCCTCCCCTTTAGGCGGGGCTCGCAAGGGCGGTGGGGGGGCCCGAGGAAGTCCGGGGGCCCTCGGTGATGCCCCCGCCCCCGCCGCGTCAGGGTTGCTCCCTGCGCTTCCGAGTGGCGACTGCAGCGGGTCCGGTGCAGGTGAGGGGCGCGCGCCTGCCCAGCTTTGCAGCCCCCGAACGCGGCCTCGCACAGGTGAGGGCGGTGCCGGGTTCACCTGGCAGCGCGCGTGGGCCGGGCAGCACGGTCGCCGCCTGGGGGTGGGCGTCTTCTCTCAACCGAAGCTGGGAGTTGGGGAGCTGGAGGGTCCAGGATGAGAATTCAGTGGCGCTACTACCCCGGAGCTGCTTGTGGTTCAGAGATCAGAAAGGTGTCCTGAGGACTGGAGGCAGAAATCCAGGCGTGGCGTACTGGAAGGCGCACTAGGGGAGGGCAGCCTGGCCCAGAATTTCTTTGCATTTTAAAGGCCACACATTCAGTCTCCCCGGGGCGCTACGGAGGTAGTCACCGCCACATCCAGGACTCCTTCCACAGAGGTCAGTTCCTCAGCTGGGTGGGCTTTAATACGCTCTCTTCGTAGAGACCCGGAGGTTCAACTTTAATTCTTTGCGCTGACATTTGCTCAACGACACCGGAGCAGAAATCCTTGGGATAATTGCGTAGGTAACAAACAGTGTCTCAATCCCACTGAAGATAAGTAAGTTAAAAATAAAGACAGTGATGTTGGTGGTGAACTTGAGTGGCGATTAGTTTCCGCAATTAGTTCCCTCCTGCACTGTCCATTTGTTAAGCAAATGTGCTGACGGCTTTTTTTAAATGATTGGGTTGCCATAAAAGAGGTTTTCTCTAGTCTGAATGAACTTCTGTGCGATGCTGACTGAGGGTTTCAGCCTCCTCTAGATGCTTACAAGAGCTTGGTCTGGAAGGTACAAGGGTGCGAACCCTTAAGGTACCAAGCAGCTTCTCAGTGAACCGTGAGACGTTAGAACACTTGCTTCAGGACGCACAGAATTCAGACACCACTTATTGAAGGATTTGTATGGATTATAATTTACATTAGCATTCATTTTTTGCTTGAGTCAGTAGCATTTCAATTCAACAAATATTTATTGTACACCTGTTAACGGGCAGACCTCTGAGAGCCGGGCTGGTGTGCTGTTGGGTAGCACAGGTGTTGATATTAATACAAAGGGGAATCTTAAGGCACTTATTCCTCACAGGTGGGTGTTTAGAACGAGACCAATGGTGCTGCGCTTTGCCTCAGCAGCACCTGTGTAATCGCTGGTTATAAGTATTTAAATGCAGGGAGAATGTAAATCTTTGAAGAGTCTCTGTCATTAGCCTGATCAGTCATTCCAAAGCAATAAAAATTGTCAAAACCATGCTTAAAATAAGATTATTAAGAATTAGCTCTGTGCCAAGCACCATGCTAGGCACTTTGTCTTGTCTATGAAATCTACAAAGTAGATACTATTCCCCTGTGCAGATAAGGAACTGAGGCAGAGAGGAGTCCAGTAATTTGTACAAGGTCAGTGGTGAATTTAGAAATTGCATGTGGCTATTTCTGAGTGCAGAACTCGTACTTTTTCACTATTCCATGCTGTCTCTAAGATGGAGAGTGTAAATCCGGCAGATTTAATATAAGAATTCAAATTTATATTCATAGATCCTATCTCCTGGGGATTAATGGAGTTAAAGTAGTCCTCAGGAATGAAGTGAGCACTGTTTTCATTGCACTTGTGTGGTCAAGCTGTGACCTATCTGTGACTAGTAGATGTAGCTTTAAAAGATAAAATTTATTATGTGTCTTAACATATTTTGAAAGGCCTTTCAAAATATGTTAAAAGATAAAATTTATTATGTCTCTTAACATATTTTGAAAGGCCTGATATATCCAAACAGGGCCAATTAATAAAATTGCATATATATTCTCTCTGTGTTATACATGGAAGGAACAGCTAATTTCCTATTATTGGTGTGCTTTACTATGGTCTCCTCCTGCAGAGGTGAGTTTCTCAGCTGAGTGGGCTTTGAAATCAATTTCAGCTTGATTTCTTACAGCTGCAAGATGATTAGCGGTCTCTTGTCACCTGGAAAGGACTTTGTGTTTGTGTAAACCTGTGCTCACACACGAATATATATTTTTCCTTAAACCTATTTCCAGAAGTACTACTTCTGGAAATTGTAGAGTACTGCAATGTGATGATCTGGCGAGGAATCAAGTTCCTTATTTGACTTTTGCATAAAGGATTTATAACAACTGACAATTTCTTTAAGTGCATGTAAACCAGGAAAGTAATTTTCAAATTAAAATTATTATACTGTGGAGAATGGAAAGTGAGTGAAAAATAGTACTCTGAATTCAAATAATATTTCTTGTTGTGGAAAACACTTGCTTTCTTAAAACTTTTCTTGTAATTGTTGGTAATTACACACAGAAATGGAAGGGGTTTTATATTTAAATTACCTTGAATTGTTGCCAGTTAACTGTTGAGAAAAGGCTTTGCCCGTGAAGCGAGGATCAGGTAGAATATTTTGCCTGCGTCAATCTTGGCACAGATTTTTTTTTTCCCTCTATCTTCACGTGGAGGTGAAACAGCCAGACACCTTAAACTCCTCTTTAGGAGCTGAGCTGTTAAGTCCTTCCTAGAAGGTGTTTATAAAAGTGTGCCTGACCTGGTAAGGTGTTCTCATGGGGAACCAGGGTGGGTGATGAAGGAGGAGAGTATGTAGGGGATATGAAGCAGGGGCAGTTCCAAGTTTTGTGAGGCCTAAAAGGTAAACAATTTGGAGACTCTCTTTAAGAAAATTAATACAAAATTAGGTGTGAAAGTGAATATGTATTTAAAATGAGAAAAAGAGATGATAATTTACTGGAGATTTCTGCCTGTTTCTGTGGAGATCTTGGGCAATTTACCAGAAATGCTTACAAAAACAGGAGTGCTGATTGCAATCCGGCTTCCCCTCTCCCTGAGAACACTCAGCATTTCCCAGCAGCTTGTCACACCCACGGGGGGCCCTGCTAGTGAGAAGCCCAAAGTTGAAGCTCTGTTACCCTCAAAGAGTGAGAGGGAAAGTTGTGGTTAAAGGCAAAGGACTCATGCTCCACTGAGCAGAGAAGAGACTGCTGGATGGGACAGCAGAGACACTCTGGACACTCATGTCCAACGAACAATTCTGAGAGCTGGTCTTCAAGACTTTCCAGGTTGGTTTGTTTCTCAGGGATGCCTTTGGCCATTGGCTTTTCCAACTATCAGTCACCATTTATTGGGAGTTTTCTAATGTCCCAAGTCCTGAGTAAGGCGAAGTCCTGATTGTCAAGAACTCCCAGTCTCATGGAGCTGATTTCATTGATCACAGTGCTTTGTTATAGGCTTGCATAGAGATGCCACAGGGGCCTTGGAGGGTTCCTGATGGCTTGAGCTGAGTTTGGAGTTACTCTGATGGAGTCCAGGAGGGTCATTCTAAGTGAGCAGAGAGCCATTAAAAGCCCTGGTGGTGGTCGGGCACAGTGGCTCACGCCTGTAATCCCAGCACTTTGGGAGGCCGAGTTGGGTGGATCACCTGAGGTCAGGAGTTCGAGACCGGCCTGGCCAATATGGCGAAATCCCATCTCTACTAAAAGTACAAAAATTAGTCCGGTGTGGTGGCAGTGCCTATAATCCTAGGTAATTGGGAGGCTGAGGTAGGAGAATGGCTTGAACTTGGGAGGCGGAGGTTGCAGCAGTGAGCCAAGATTGCACCATTGCATTCCAGCCTGGGAGACAAGAGCGAAACTCCGTCTCAAAAAAAAAAAAAAATCCCTGGTGGTTTAGACTCATTCATTCTCCTCCACTGATGTTCTTCGAGTCCGGCAGCACCTACGTACCTGAGATTAACTTGTTAGAAATGCACGTTCTCAGGCACCCCGCATTAGGAGCTCTGCGTCTAGAGCACAGTAATCTGTGCTTTAAGAAGCCCTCCGGATGATTCTGGTGCATGCTAAAATCTGAAAACCACTGGTCTTAATATTTAAGAGAACAGATAGGGCATGGAATCCCTTATGGAGATCACTGGGAGGGAACTGAAATTAATAATAATAGTAATATATTAGTGTTGTAATATGATAATTTGTATTACTATCACTAACATTTATTGAGCTCTCAGGTTGTGCCAGGCATTTTGCTAAGAAATATTAACTCTTAATCTTCGGTACAAACCCTGGGTAACGCAGGGCTATGATCAACTGGATTTAAATGTGAGAAAACTGAAAGAGAAATAGGAAATTGTCCGTAGTCACACAGCTGGAAAGTGGTTCAGCCGGGATTCAAGCACAGGCTGTCTGGTTTTAGAACCTTCCTCTTTTATCTTGCCTGGGAGAGTTTTCATCGATGCCACTGTTATGTGTTGGCATTGGCCAAGAGGCAGGCCTGGGATTGCTTGGGATGTGCCTGTTTAACAATCGTAGTCATTTGCTGACTACTGTGGTTAAGAAATTTTTCATTAGAGACAAATTTCCAAACTAGGAAGGAAGAACTTCATTGTCATTTACTCCTGATGCAGACTTTTAAAATTTCATGAGTGAATAGACATGATTCCATATAAATGATTACATCACATGCAAATACCATTTCCCATAGCGTCATGATTAAGGGCTCCTATGGATTACCCAGCGGGGAGTGATGTTGGTGATTATGGAAGGTGGCCTTGTTTCCTTGTTTAGGAATGCTGGGATTTGATCTGATTATTAGAGGCCTCTCTTCTAGAGGCCAAGCACCTCCCCAGGCCACAGAGGATTTGAAGGTGATGCTGTGTTTGTTCATTACATTTTGGAAGATATTCAGAAGAGCTGTGCCTTGTCCTATTACATTTTTTTTTTCTGGTAAAAAAATAAAAAGTTGCCTATGATTCAATCCTTTCTTTTTTTTCTTTTTTTTTTTTTTTTTTTTTTTTTTTTACGAAATAGCCCCATGGTGTCAAGCAGCGTGAGTAAGAATGTACAGATAGTGACATGGATATGTGTGCGAGTGCGTAGAGTGATGGTTTGCTCTCGGGTATAAACCTAAGGTTGCTGTGCCTTTACTTCCCCTCTAGAAAAAAATGTTTACACAAACATTAATTTGAGTTTATGGTAGGCAGCAGAATCTAATTCTGAGAATGCCAGCTGTGTCATCTATGCATGCGTTCATTCATTCATGTGGTCACTGGTTGCCTGCCTAGTTGTGCTAAATATTATGTTAGGCACCAGAAGAGATACAGTGTGACCAAAACAGACATGATCCCCATGGACCGGAATAGAAGTCCTTGTAGTGCAATGTTATGGGAGAACAGAATAGATGCCCTCCCTCTGGCAGTGAGTCAGCAGGAAAGGCGCTCATAAGTTATTGTAGATCAGGAGGGAGGTAGGTTATTGGGCTTGATTAAGGCCTTAGGGAAGTGGAGGTGCGGCAGGATTTGAGAGATAACTAGGAAGATTACACAGGTGACCAGGTGGAGGTGGGTGATGAGAGAGAGGGAGGTGCTGGGCCTGTGGATCAGGTTTGAGCCTTGGGCTGCTGGCTTGGTGCCAGTAACATAAGTCAGTATTGGAGGAGGAGAAGCCTCTTTTCAGAGAATTATGACCTTCATGGACACTGAGTCTGAGATGTTTGGATGACCCCAAGGTAGAGATGTTAGGTGGATAATTGGATAGGATAAAGGTCTGCACTCCAGGAAAGAGGTTGGCAATGTAGAGATTTGAAAGAACTGGTCTTTGGATGGTAATTGAATAATTGACTAAATATCAACTGATTGAATAATGCAGTTGCTGTAACAACTGAATAATTCAATCAACTGAACTCATTCTTCAGCGAGTGGAGATGAATCCTCCACTCTCTTTGGCCTTTGAGATATTTGAGAGCCATATTTGAGAGGTGGAGGTGGAAGGACGTCCTCAATGTGGAAAAGCAAACAAGGGCCATTGAAAGCAGTTGAGGACAGGACTAAACTCGGATTTTTTTTTTTTTTTATGCTGCCCAAATTCTTATCTAAGGGGTCTGGGGACTCATGCCCTACAAACTATAAATTCTTATCAAATGGGTTTCATTTAACCCTGTATATCATGACTTACTTTCCAATCTGACTCTGGCATAACATTACCTGACAAAGAAGAAAGTGGAAATATTTTACCCCAAAAGTATGTTTCTTTGCCATATTTTGAAATGGTCCTGCAAAGCTGTCCTTTGTGGGGTCACATGTGCATCTGTAAAGAATCTCTATTAAAGCTAGATCTTTTTCTTCCAGGCCCTCCCTATCCTGAAGAGATTAAGAGTCTAGCACCTTTTAAGGTCTGAATAGGAAACATTTGTCATCTGTCATCTCTAAGGGCAGCCACTGTAAGACTTCAGAGAACCTTGCTCTCCACAATTTTTTATCTTAACCTGAACATTTCCTTTCTATTGATCCCAGGTCTTTAGACAAACTCAACCAATTGTCAATCAGAAAATGTTTACATTTATCTATAGCCTGGAAGCCACCCCCCGCCCCGCGCACTTTGAGTTGTCACGCCTTTTTGAACCAAACCAATGTATTTCTTGAACGTATTTCATTGATGTGTCATGCCTCTCTAAAATGTATAAAATCAAGCTGCACCCTGACCACCTTGGGCACATGTTCTCAGGACCTCCTGAGGGCTGAGTCACGGGCCATGGTCACTCATATTTGGCTCGGAATAAATCTCTTAAAATATTTTACAGAGTTTGACTCTTTTTTGTTGACATAGTAGAGTGAGGAGTGAACAAGGAGGTTGTTGAAAGCTAGTGTTCAGAATTTGAGCCCATATAATTTTTATGAGGTAAAACGTTTATCATATATCCTCTTGTTATTTTCTGTTATAAAAACACACATTTTAAATTAATGTATATCGTATGAATCATAAATGAATCATATCATTTTGTATATTGTGTAGATTGGCCAGTGCTGCTTTGGAGTAGCTGTTAGAATATTAATTTTTATATAGAATAGATAGGTTTTCTTAGGTGCTCCAAGTAGAAGGCTTTTTTAAAACTGCTAAAAAGTAGCTAGGAGAAAAAAAAAAGTTCTTTTATCCAAAAACTATTCACTGAGCATGTGCTATACATGTTATGTGCTGAAATTTTAGTTGTGAATAAAACAAATAGATCCTCATCCTCTCAGAGCTTACAGTTGAGAGGGGAAACCAGACAGTTTCACAAGTGATTACAATGAAGCGTGCTGTTCGTTAAGGGTGAGGGACAGGGTGCTATGAGAGCAGGTGGTGAGGGCCACATCCAAAGTGCCACCTAGGCCTGGCAGGAAGGAGATGGAGAAGCACAGAGGGAGTGTTTTGAGAAATCAGTGGATGGATGCTTTTGAGGAACTGAAAGCCTAGGCTAGTCTGTTTAAGCTTTGTTAATGACAAGTTATTAATAAGTGGGAATATTCATGAGAGGTCTGCTAACTGATGGGGAAAACTAAAAAGGAAGCATTAAACCTATCTGTGTGACCACGCCCATGTTCTGTGAAGGGTTTTGAAGAATCCAAGATACAATGGAGTTGACCGTGAAAAAAAAAAAAAAAGAAAAGAAAAACTAAAAACAAAAACACCCAAATTAAAAACAAAAATACCAAAATCAAAAACAAAAATGATTGGGTAATGCTTACTTTTTTTAAGGTGGTGGTTGGGGAACTACTTTTAGCATTATGAAGCATGTTTGGATTTAGCCTGAGAACTTGGGTAATATATCAAAAAATAACATTATATTTCTTGGACTACAATAACCATTATTGCTATGATAATCTTGCTTAACGTAAAAGATATGTATATAGATATGCTTAGCTTCTTCGGTTTATAGTCTGGAAATGACCTTTGGGATCAGCTGTTCCACCTCCAGTTGCCCCTTCATGAATAATCTGGGGCTCAGGAGTGCTGCAGGCTCAATTATTATTTTCACTGGGTCAATTGGTGACAACATCTGTTGGGTAGAATCTGTCCTGAGTTCCTTGTCCTACAGCGACAATGCTTCACTTGAAGACTTCTTGTTTGTTGTTGGAACAGGCCCAGTAAATAATTATCTCCATCTCCTTTAAGTCTTTACTTACATGAGCTCCCTCCCCTGTCTTCCTTATCTCCTACTTTTTCTGACACTGTGCTATGTTTTGAATTCTGTAGGAATCCTTGGCGGAAGTTGCCTTCAGCATTTTAGGCCTGTCTAAACAGGTAGAATTTATCTGACATTTCTTTCACTCCCTTAAGCCTCATGTGAGTTGGCACAGAGACATGTAGCTTTGGCAAAGAATGAGAAAGAAGGTTCTGGGGAAGTTTTCTCTGTTAATATTTGAACCAAAAGACACGGTGGGGCTTGGAAAGTATCTGATGAATTGTTTTTAAATGTCATGAACTATTTATGTGCCCCCAAATTATGTTTGATCAGATAGGTGTGGCCCTGATCAGTAATAACAGACTGGTATTTGGTCCTTTTATTAACTACTTCCTCTCCAATTTCCTTTCCAAAGCCACGTGTCAGTTTCAAGCATTGTCACTATGAGCCCAAGATCCAGAATTATTATTTTATTGTTTAGTTTTGGTGTTCAGTTGTCAGGCTGTGCCTTTTCATTGGTAGTTTTTTTTTTGTTTGTTTTGTTTTTTAAGTAGAAGTTTTTGCTTTTCCTAGTTTACAGGACACACAGATTTAGCTGCTGTATATTTTATTTTGTGTACTAGCTACCTGATATTTCGGAGTCTCTACTCAGTGGTAGCATTATCTTAGTCATGCTAATCCTCTTAGGAACCCTATTAGATAGGAATCATCTCCATTTTATTGAAGGGAACACTGAGACTCAGTGAAACCTAGAACTTGCACAAGGTCACCCAACTGGGTTGGAAATCTGGCCTATGTCTTTTTTTACTTTCTACCCCTGTTATTTGATTTCAAGCTAGTGCTGTTTCAACCATTTCAATCACTGCACTCTGTTTTGCATCCCAGGGAAATTATTTCACCCCAAGACTTGAGGGGTTTCAAGACCCATTCCAACTAAGATTTCAGAAATTCCTCTACCTCCTGAGTTTGGAAGTAGCTGTTCTGTGCATTCTCAGGCTCAATGCAAAGGTGAAATCCTTCATGACAGGGGAGGCCTTAAAACCACATCCATGTAGACCTGGAATCTTGCTAAACCCTGTTGTGAAGATAAACGCAGCATGGTCTTGATAAATATGTCATTTAAGAGCAATTTCCTGCCAGATGACTGTGTATATATGAAGCTGGGTAATCTGGAAAAGTCTCTATCCTTTATCTGATCCAAGTGATGCTGTAAACAGGATTGTTAGATTTGTGTAACGAAGCTAGCAATCACATCTAAATATTACTACACTTAATTCCTAAGTGTTCATGTGAGAACAACTTCATTGTGTTTTTATGTTTTTGAATGATTGTAACCTTTTAAATATATACAGATGTTGGCATTTCAAAACCCAGGAAAATTCTTGTGGTGCTATTGATTAGATCAAGGTACTTTTTTTGGTGTGTATCTATTATTAGCATTAAGACACACTTATCAAATAAGATCTTTTCAAGATCCAGAGTATACAGACACGGTGGATGTTTTGGTTATCGTGGTCTTCGAGAAGCTGGGGTTACTTCTCTGAATACTCCACTTATCCCCAGCAGAGCTTCTGAGATATCTCCTAGGGATCCTTTAGTTTCATGTAGAGTCGGTGGCTTTCTAGGATGTGAGAGCAAATGCAGAGGCTGGTGTAAATGGCAGGGGAAAGTAGTGGAAGAATGTAACTAATACTCCCTTGAACCCTACAATCTGATGTGCCGGGCACAGCCTCATCTGCTTTTGAGAACACTCATCGGTGTTGTTTAATATTCATTCCAATAAGAAGCCATTTTACTATAGGTTATGAATGGTAATTTTGTATTTTTGTTTAAACTATTTTCTAATGCAAATTTTGCTGACCAATTCTGGATGTCTTGTTTGTGCAATTTTGGTCGTTTCCATGGTTTGTAGTAATATCCTAAATCTGGCCAGTCGGAAAACCAGGTCTTGCCTGTCGATATCTTTTTGCTGGTGGCTGTGGGTCAGAGCTGACTGACTTAGTACTTACAAGGCATTTGTATTATTGTTGCTTTTTAAAGTATGTGATTAAGCATAGGATAGAATAGTATAGAACAATATTATGTGCTGATGTATGAATGCAGATATATATATTTTTTTTCTGGAAATGAGTGCTAGAAACTTACTAGTGGTTCCTTTGTGGAGATGGTCTAGTTTGAGCTAAGTCACTTTTTATCCTGTGCCTCTAGGCACAATTACAGTTTCCTAAGGCATACCCACTTTAAAAAAAAAAAGTTACCAGGTTTAATTCAGTGGTGAGATAATAGGGCTTTTTATTTTTGTCTTTAAAATGTCATTTAAATTATCCTTGGACCTCAGAATATTAAAGAGACTTTGAATTTGTTTAATATTTCATAGTTTTTTAAAAGTCTGGCATTTATTATTAGATTTTATTAGTTTCTTTGAGATCAGGAGAATTAGCACTACTCTGTATGGTTGTTGAAATGATTAAGGAGAGAAAAGGTTCCAAATTATTCTCTCCATTCAGCAAGAGTTCCTGTAGGCCACTTCTGATGAGGTAGGTGCAGAATGGAACCACTTAAAACGTTTCTACTCCAGTGAGCAAGTAATGAAGGCCTATGCTATGGCTCCCTCAAACCACCTTGTTACTGGGGAAAGACTGGGTTTTGAATTCAGACAAACCCCAGCTCAACTATCAGTTCTGCCATATATTAGCTGTGGGACGTTGACATCTCTGGAACTCAGTTTTCTCATTTGTAAAATGGAGATGAAAATACTTTGAGATGCCTGTGGATATTAGTAAGAATACATGTAGACTGCCTTGCACATAACAGATACTTCATAAATGTCTATTATTCAAGGAAAAGAGGGAGTCTGGATTCTTCGTAATAAGCAAACCTACAGAGGTTTGGGTAAGTGCCTGCCTACGCTGTTATGTCAGCTTTCTCAGAGATCAGGCATCTGTGCACTGCTGAGGTTTTTTTCTACATTGCCTTCTAACCAGGATAAGGATGAGAAAGCATGGTAGGATCTGATACTAAATTACAGTATTAAAAGAAACAAGAGGCACATTTTTGGGCCAGTAACAATTTTAAAAATCTAGTCTATTTACCCAACTTGAGGCTGTTATTTTTAGAGATGAGACACTAGACACTGAAAGTTTTTTTTTAAACTTTAGATTTTTATTTTCATTTTAAAGATGTTTTTCCCTTTTGCATTTTTAACTAAGTTTTGAGGTCAGAAAGCGAGTATTGCACATGCACATATCCTATTGGCAGTATTGGGTTTAGTGGTTTCTTGGTAGTTACCGTATGATTTGATGAAAGCCTGGCCACTTCTGGGGTTAGCTGACAGTGTTTCCTAAATATATGTATATATATGTATACACATATACACGTACACATATACACGTGTATATGTAGATACACATATACACGTGTATATGTGTATCTACACATACACG
This sequence comes from Homo sapiens, assembly GCF_000001405.40. Lineage (NCBI taxonomy): Eukaryota > Metazoa > Chordata > Mammalia > Primates > Hominidae > Homo > Homo sapiens. The sequence continues at coordinate 94,242,988 of NC_000015.10, forward strand.
TGTATATGTGTATCTACACATACACGTGTATATGTGTATCTACACATACACGTGTATATGTGTATCTACACATACACGTGTATATGTGTATCTACACATATACGTGTATATGTGTATCTACGGGTGTGTATATATGTATCTACGGGTGTGGATATATTTATATACGTGTGTGTATATACATACGTACGTATGTACGTATGCGTATATACGTATGCGTATATACGTATATACATACGTATGCGTACATACACATGCGTATATGCGTATATACATACATACGTATGCGTACATACGTATGCGTATATGCATATATACATACATACGTATGCGTACATACGTATGCGTATATGCGTATGTACATACATACGTATGCGTATATGCGTATGTACATACATACGTATGCGTATATGCGTATGTACATACATACGTATGCGTATATGCGTATGTACATACATACGTATGCGTACATGCGTATGCGTATATGCGTATGTACACACATACGTATGCGTACATATGTATGCGTATATGCGTATGTACACACATACGTATGCGTGCATACGTATGCGTATATGCGTATGTACATACATACGTATGCGTATATTTGTATATGTATGTATACACGCATATGTGTATATACGCATATGCGTATATACATATATATGTATACACATATGCGTATATATACACATATATGTATACACATACATATGCGTATATACACATATATGTATACACATACATATGTGTATACATATATGTATACACATGCATATGTGTATATATTTATGAACATATATATGTATATACACATATGCGTATATACATATATGTATACACATATGTATATATTTATGTACACATATATGTATACACATACATATGTGTATATATTTATGTACACATATATGTATACACATACATATGTGTATATATTTACACATATGTGTACACATACATATATGTGTATATATTTACACACACATATGTATACACATACATATGTGTATATATTTATGCACACATATGTATACACATACGTATGTGTATATATTGCACACATATGTATACACATACATATGTGTATATATTTATGCACACATATGTATACACATACATATGTGTATATGTTTATATACACATGTATACACATGCATATGTGTATATGTTTATATACACGTGTATACACATACGTATGTGTATATGTTTATATACACGTGTATACACATACATATGTGTATATATTTATATACACGTGTATACACATATGTGTATATATTTATATACACACATATATACACATACATATGTGTATATATTTATATACACATATGTATACACATGTATATATACACGTATACGTATACACATACATATGTATATATACGTATATGTATACACATAAATATGTATATTTATATTCGTATATGTATACACATACATATGCACCTATGTTTATATACGTATATGTATACACATACATATGCACCTATGTTTATATACGTATATGTATACACATACATATGCACCTATATTTATATTCGTATATGTATACACATACATATGCACCTATGTTTATATACGTATATGTATACACATACATATGCACCTATGTTTATATACGTATATGTATACACATACATATGCACCTATGTTTATAAACGTATATGTATACACATACATATCCACCTATGTTTATATACGTATATGTATACACATACATATGCACCTATGTTTATATTCGTATATGTATACACATACATATGCACCTATGTTTATATTCGTATATGTATACACATACATATGCACGTATGTTTATATACGTATATGTATACACATATGCACCTATGTTTATATACGTATATGTATACACATACATATGCACCTATGTTTATATACGTATATGTATACACATACATATGCACCTATGTTTATATACGTATATGTATACACATACATATGCACCTGTTTATATACGTATATGTATACACATACATATGCACCTGTTTATATACGTATATGTATACACATACATATGCACCTATGTTTATATACGTATATGTATACACATACATATGTACCTGTTTACGTATATGTATACACATACATATGTACCTATGTTTATATATGTATATGTATACACATGTGTATATATTTATACACACATGTTTGTATATTTATACACATGTATAGATTTATACACACATATGTATGTATATATTTATACATATGTGTATATATACATATGTATGTATATATACACATATGTATATATACATATGTGTATATACGTATATACACATATGTATATATTTATATACATATATGTACATATATTTACATACATATGTGTAGATATTTACATACATATGTATATATATTTACATACATATGTATATGTATTTATATACATGTGTGTATATATTTATATACATGTGTGTATATATTTATATATACACATATATGTATATGTATTTATATACATATATGTATATATACATACATGTATGTATTTATATATGTATACATATATGTATATATTTATATACATACATGTATATATTTATATATGTATACATATATGTATATATACGTATATGTACATATACGTATATAGACATATACATATGTACATGTATATATACATATACTTATACATATACATATGTATATGTAAATGTGTATATACATATGTATGTGTATACATATATAAATATATGTGTGTGTGTGTGTATATATATATATATATATCTATATAGACAAAAGAGTACCTTTGAAGGCTTTGGAAGGTGAAACCTAGTCAATGGCTTCATTGGAGCACATACCTACATTTCTGATTGCTCCCCCCCCAGCCAAAAATATTGATCAGCTATGATTTCACGTTTAAACAGGGCAATAGAGAAAATGGAAATGTTTTCTAGTTTCAAAAAACTTGTCTCCCTGGAGTGTCAAGCTTCATCTTCATGAAAAGATTATTAGTGGTAACCTCTTCGGAGCAGAGAGGATTTTAAAGGCAGATGAGGTCTGTGTAGGCTGAGAGTGGGGAGGAAAAATGTGACTTGAGTCTGGAAGAATGGGAGGGACTGGCAAAGGCTTGGGGAGAGGTCGTCACTTTTATCTCTGTTCCTCTCACATTGTGTAGCCTCTTGGAACTTTGCTGAAGGACCCTTTGCAATGCTACACATATTAGGAATGGACACTGAAACCGTCACCTACAGGAAATGAGGTGTCAGAGACTGAAGGACAGGTGGCTTAAAGGTCAAGTATTTGGAGCTGAGCCAATGGTCCTGAATCTCAGCTCTACTATGTAGTAATTGTGTGTCACTGGGAAAGTTACTTAAGCTTTCTGTGCCTCAGTTTATTCGTCAGTGAATGAGTCGTCTAATAGTACCTACCTTATAGAGTTATGAGGATTATAGGATAGTATTTCTAAAGTGCTTAGTACCTGATACCTGAAGCACCATAGCCTCCCCTTAAGGAGTAGCTGCAGTGGCTGATGCTCTTGTTGTTTGGAAATATTGATGGTGGAGAGACTCATTTAACTTTAATGCCATATAATGTGTCATGTTTACCTCCCTTAATAGAACCTAATAATTGCTTCATATTTAAAAACTCATTTGCAGTATTTTAGCTCAGTGGGAAGATTGATTTGGATGTTTTTAATCATTCTAAGCCTTTGTTCTAGCCGAGGCTCTATGAAATGGGTTGCAAAATCCACAGACTGAGAAATGATAGAAAACTAGGGAAAGTTCATTTGGGAATTATCAATTTAAGCTGTCACATGATAATGTCCACTTCATTGCGCTGACACTGGCATTGATGGAATCCAAGTGGTGGAGAAAAATCGATTTAACCTTTTTAAAAGATGATGGTTTTAATATTGATAAGTGTTCTTTACCTTTTCATTTGAGAGATGCTACTGTAATGGAATGCCTTATAAATACTAATGAGTGCTGACTGCCATCTTTGATAGTAACTCCTTTGAGTATTTTAAGACAAACTCCCATGATCTGGGCAAATGTCATGTTAATGCATCCCAGACAGGTTGAGAAATATATTCATTAAATCATGCTTCACATGAGTGTAGGAAGAGTTTATTAATTTATATTTAAAAACCTTTGTAGATTCACAGGCCAAAAAAGGGCTTAGGAGGTGTGTGCGTGTGTGTGCGCGTGAGTGCATGTGATTCCTTTTAATTCATCTGTGGCAGCTTTTTCTCCTTTGATTGAGACATTTGGATCAGTTCAGAGGGCATTGGATGCACATCAGTCAGCTCCTCATGAGTGCTTCCTGGGTGCCTCACCTGCTGCCCTTTCTTAGTCCCCAACATGCTGGGGAATTCCAGCTGTCTCCAGGATCCTCAGGATTGTAAAGGATTTCTGCCTATTAAGATCCAAATGTTAATGGAAAGAGGGGACAGAGAGCTGGGCTTTAGGATCCATGCCAGTTCTAGGATCCTTCAATTCTTGGTTGATAGTGTCTGAGATCACTTATGTGGGCCTTACTCTGTTGTGGAGTTCAGGGGCTTCATTGTCAACCTGTTGATGGTGATTTTGTAGAGATGTTAAGAGGAGTGGGTCATTTCATTACGAAATGATTGGGAAAAACCAGATGGGATGTCCAAGCAGATAAAACGGGCGCATCCTCACCATAGTTTACTCCCTGACCTTCAATCAGTAAGACTGATGATCATTACTAATTTAATGCCTCTGTAAAAAGCTGCCCTGTACCTTATCATAGAGCAATAAATATGTATTACACAACATGTTTTTCCAAAAAGCTTAACAGTTATGAAGCTCTTTAGGTTGATGAACTCCACTAGTCTCTAGGCAGGCTTGGATTTCTAGTAAATATTCAGTCATGATGTTAATAAAACGAATCCTCTTCTGAATTCATTCATTTGTTTGTTCCATCAAAACTTATCTGTAATGTGCCAGGTATTGATGTGGACTGGGAAAATCCAGTCTCTTCCCCTCAGGGCACTTACAGTATTGCAGGGTGGTATTGAGGAGTAGATTAGGAGATTAAGTAAATAAACTAACAAGATAATGTTGGATCCTTAGGGCCATCAAGAATGTGAGGTGTGATGAGATTATGACATGGAGGTACTGCTTCACACTAGAAGGTCAGGATTAGAGTTAGGCTTGGGGTAGAACTTGTTAAGGAGGTGATTCCTGATGTGGGACCTGAAAGAGCCAGGTTTTTGATCTGTGCAAAGGTCACATTATGTAACTAATAACAGCCTTGAATAAGGAAACAAAATCCCTACACTTGCACCCCAAGTGTTTGATGCACCCATTTTCTCCTTATGCGAGGTTTCTAGTGTTATACTTCACACAGGCATTACCCTTCCACCAAGTAGAACTGAACCATCTCGAAATAATGGGCCTCTTCCAGGCAAGGACGTGACTGTGGCTCAGTAGATCCTACCTTTCTTCACACAAACCAAGTTGGCTGAACTTTGCTCCCAATGAGAGCTCCTTCTGTGTTTACTTTCCAATTACATTGGCCAGTCAGGTAAGCCTAGAGCTTTGGCCAGGCTTGCTTTAACTTTCCTTTGACGCTTAAAATATGTTCTTTCGCTTGTTGCTTTTAGCTCTCTGTAAATGCCACACTGTCCTGTCATTCTCAGGCTGTCAAGATTCTGCCCGCTTGTGTCAAGATACTTATTGGAAATTAGAGCTTCCTCTACTTTAAGTCTAAATCTTTTCAACACTGGATTTTTATATGATTTACGAAATTTGAATTGTTTGGTGAACAATGAGCCAAAACAGACAGTGAGGCTTTGCAAAGGTGCAAGTGTCTTAATCAAGAACCCTTCCTGCTCAGTCCGTGGAAACTTACCCAGTGGTGTAAACCCTGCCACGGTGGCTTACACAGGTTCTCTGTGCTTTTTGTTGATTAACTCAATATGGAACAGTATGCTTTGGGTCCTGAGAGTCAGAAGGAATGGTAATACAGAATTATACCTTTATAGAAAAGCAGAAATTTACTAAATTAAATGTTAAACTCGAGCTTAAATGCTATTGAAGCGCTTGTGTTGTGCAGATAGATGCCTGTACTGATTGTTCTCTCTCTGGAGCTTCTGTTCTGTGCAGAGATGACAAACATGATAATATTTTATTACACATAAGTAGGAGTTAAGAATCTGGGATAGATATCTGTCTTGATTTTCCGTAATATGCCTGTACCATGTGAAGTGGTTTCATTTATTTTACATAGCCCTGTGTTATTTAGAATATTCTAAAACTATATGTGGACTTTCCTGTATTGGCTGTTGAATAAGAACTAATTAGCTGTGCCATATCTGGAGTTAGCATGGCCTCTTGAATTGTCTTAAAGAAAGTTGTAGGATATTTCTGGTCCTTCTATAGGATCTATGGTTCTGATATTTGTGCTGAGATGGAGATGGTAATACCAGCCTAGAGCCATTGCTCCCCTTTCCAAAGCCCAAGGCAGATGTTCAAGTGAATGACATCATATTTCCCACTGAGTCTCAGAATCTTTTTTTTTTTTTTTGAGACGGAGTCTCACTCTGTCACCCAGGCTGGAGTGCAGTGGCGCGATCTCAGCTCACTGCAACCTCCGCCTCCTGGGTTCACGCCATTCTCCTGCCTCAGCCTCTTGAGTAGCTGGGACTACAGGCACCCGCCACCACGCCCAGCTAATTTTTTGTATTTTTAGTAGAGACGGGGTTTCACTGTGTTAGCCAGTATGGTCTCGATCTCCTGACCTCGTGATCCACCCACCTCAGCCTCCCAAAGTGCTGGGATTACAGGCATGAGCCACCGTGCCTGGCCAGAATCTTTTTTTTAATAACAGCTCTTCAGGTAGCTGTCATGAGTTGATCTGAGCTGGTCACCAGAAACCTAGTTGTCATCCAAGACTGTTTTTGATTAAACTTTTTCTTTCTGTTGTCTGAAAGCACACATACAAAATGTCACTGCAAACATTACTTTTATTTTTACATTCGCTTATTACAAAACATTATGTCAATAGTAAAAGAAAAAAAAAGCACATATTATCTGCCTTTGGAAAAAATCAGCCATCAGTGATTTTTTCATTTTTTTTTTCCCCAACTTAAGCCATACTTGTACATCACTTCACAGAGCCATAAACATAGTTTTGGTAGAATTTTGTAGTTTGTGTTTTTCACTTAAAATTATACCATAAATTATTTTCCAGGTGACTACATAGCATTGGAGAATTCATTTTTAATGGCTGCATTAGTGAAAATGAGTGGCTCGTATTTCTGTTCCTGGTGTATGTGTGTATCTAAAAATATATCACTTAATATGCATTCTGTGCTACATTTCCTAGGCTTGTAGAACATTTATAGTTTGTAGTAACTCAGTTGTCACCTTGTGCAAACTGTGCAAGAGATTCTATCCTTCACTTGTGCTGATGGAGTAATTTAAAATTTCATGTCGTGAGCACGTATTGAGGATTACTATAGAAGCCTATGAACACTGGATTTTTGTATGGATTTTCTCTAATATACTCTAAATCTAAAAACACATTAAGGCAAAGCACCTGGCTCCTCAAAGAGCTAACACCATGAAATTACCTAGAAAACAAAATTTAGCTAAATGAATTTATACCTTACTACAGGGACTGAGAGTTATCTATTTTTTTCTATTAGCTGAACAGCAGTCTTTATCTCTGTTATATGAAATGACATGAGCTGTGCAAGGTGAAGTCACTCAGAGAACAATCATAACATTAAGAGAAATGTGGCCTGAAAGAATACATTTTGATTTTTATGCTACTTATAGAGTTCAGTGTGATGGAGCTAGGAAAATTGACAGCAGAGCCCAACAATTTTAGTACAGAATTTATCTGCTCTGGGAAAAAGCTGTCTTCATTGTGTTATGAAATGTGAATTGGTGTTGGGTATTTATAGAGTGAGAGGCAGCAGAAAATGTCCTCATAGTCAAGTTTAAGAAAATGTCTTATCTAAATGAGAAGCAATACATTGATATCTATACTGACATAAGTAGCATGACTATGGAAGATGATTAGATAAGAGTGGCCCTTGGTTGACTTCATGACTTCTGTTTGATTGGCAGTGTATAAAATGTAGTAATTTCACATAAACATTTGGGCTGAGAGCATCTCTTGAAAGATCTGAGTGTGAGGCGAGTCAGGCTGCATTCCTGCAGAGCTGCCGTAGCCACAGTGAGGACAGGACCCATGGTCACCTGGGATTTTGACCCTGACAAATAAATATATCTTTTTACTTTACCGAATTCATCTCCTTAAAATGTGTCAGTTTCTAGACCTGTACATTCATTCCAACTTGGCTTAAAATTAATAAATTTTGTCATTTTTATGTTTTCTTAATCATCCTAAAATACACATAACCTAATACGCATTTTGTTTTTTTTTTTTGAGACGGAGTTTCGCTCTTGTTGCCCAGGCTGGAGTGCAGTGGCGCGATCTCAGCTCACTGCAACCTCCACCTCCCGGGTTCAAGCAATTCTCCTGCCTCGGCCTCCTGAGTAGCTAGGATTACAGGTGCCCGCCACCACGCCTGGCTAATTTTTGTATTTTTAGTAGAGACGGGGTTTCTCCATGTCAGTCAGGCTGGTGTCGAACTCCCGACGTCGGGTGATCCACCTGCCTCGGCCTCCCAAAGTGCTGGGATTATAGGCGTGAGCCACCACACCTGGCTGCAATGATCATTTTTAAGTATACAGTTCAGTGACGTTATGTTTATATTGTTGCACAACTGTCACCTCCATCCGTCTCCTGAACTCTTCATTTTGTGTAACTGAAACTGTGTCCATTAAACACTGTTTCCTCATTGTCCTCTCCCTCTGCCCCTGACAGCCATCATTCTACTTTCTGTCTCCACGAATTTGACTACTTTAAGTAGCTCCCATAAGAGGACTCCTATAGTATTTGTCCATTTGTGACTGGCTTATTTCCCGTAGCATAATGTCCTCAAGGTTCATCCACGTCCTAGCAATTGCCAGAATTTCCTTCTTCTTAAAGGCTGAATAATAATATGTTGTATGTATTTATCGCATTTTGTTCATTCGTAGACACTTGAATTGCTTCTTTTGCCTATTGCAAATAGTGCTGCTAGGAACATCGGTGTACAATTATTTAAGTCCCTGCTTTCGTTTCTTTTGGGCAGATACCCAGAAGTGGAATTGCTAGATTATGTGATGATTCTATGGTTATTTTCTTGAAGAACTGCTACATCATTTTTCCATAGCGGCTGTACCATTTTACATTTCCACCAACAGCACACTAGGGTTCCAATCTCTCTAGAGTCTTGCCAACACTTGCCATTTTCTGTTTTGTTGTTGTTGATAGCCATTCTAGTGAGTTTAAAGTGTGTCTCATAATTTCCATGTACATTTCCCTAAGAATTAGTGATATTGAGTATAACGTTTTTACAGAGCTTACTACAGTTGTAAGACATGACCTTTTGAATTGTCATTGTAAGAAAATTACCTGGCAGATCAAAAGATCTGGATTCTAGTAATGTCTCCATCTTTAATTAGCCATTTGACCTTCAATTCTGTTTGACAACAGTTAATTAGGCTGTGCTGTGGTAAGTGCTGATCCCCTCATGAGGTGACACAGAGTGGAGAAAAATAAACCACAAATTTTTTATTCATGCCTCTGGTTTACAGATTTTTTTTTTTTTGGTCTCAAAGTAAAAACAAGGTATCACAGCTTAAACTTTTCTAATTCTAAAGTTTGTAATCTGTCACCTAAACTTATAAGTGTAACTTAGATTCTCTTCAGACCTAGGTAGGGTTACCAGCCATCAAAATAAGACATGAAAAGTATGATATAAGGGAAACAGGTAATTTTGAAATTTTTGGAGGATCTGTGGTTAATATCTGAACCTTATTTACAATTTCTACTTATTTATAAATTTGATTAAAAATTAGCATATCTTAATTAAATGTTGTTTATTTTATCTTATCTCTTGTCATACCTTGCTTTTCTGGCTTCCCAGCTCATTACAGCCTGGCTTCTGTGTCCCCGAGGTGTCTGCTGCCCTCCCAGTAACCAAACAAGTTGGGGGCACCTCTGCTTCCCTCAGCTGACTTTTCTGCAACATTTGCAATTGTTGCTTACTCCTTGAAACTTCCTCTCTCTTTCCTCTGTGCTGCCACTAAAAGTTAATTATTCCTGTGGTTCAGCACCCAGCCTTGTTTGCTTTTCACTTTACACACTTGTTTGAGGAGAGACGGTTCCTGTCTTCCACATTTCCATCTCAGATTTTGCTCTGAACTCCCACCTTGAATATCCAGTTAGACTATATAGTGTGTCTCAACTTTGATAACTTATCAGTCTTCCACCTTACCTTCTGTAAATGGCTCTTGCTCCTCTTTCCCTGTGTTAATTGGTGGTTCCACCATATTACCTCTGGCCTATCTAGGCAACTTAAACACCTGCTGCTGCCTGCTCCCTATTCCTCTCCAACACATATAATCAGCAAATTACAAAATTCAGCTTCTCAGTCCCTTCATTGTCATTCTAGTTACATTTTTTTGTGGTCTAGCCTTTATCACACTGGATTAATGCATCAACTAGGTACTGCATTAGCATCTCATTCTTAACACCTCCTAGATCACACAACACTGTTGGAATTGCTTTGCTATCTGCTTCTCCTACTGTACTCTGAGTGCCTCAGGAGAATAAATGGGGTGTGTATTTTATTCCTTGAGCTAATGCCTAGGGGAACTAAAGGATACTGTAATAGTCTCTCTCTTAAAGTCTCTCTTTTTTTTTTTAATGCACAAAATGTAAGTTTCACATCGTTGCATGTGACAGACCTAATTCTACTGCAGTATCACACAAGTGTAACCATTAAACTCCAGAGACTGAAACAGTTTTCTCATCAGCTTAAAAAAAAAAATCTGGTGGTAGTATAGCTCAATGGTGGGTTGAAACACATCTGCTTTTTACATGATCCTTGATGCTCCAGAGCACACTGTTTACTTTCACTTTCAATGACTCTAATTTCAAATGGTATAGATCAAGGTTGCACATATGTGTACATAGAGGATGAGACTGTGGTGGGTGACATGTTAGAAAGCTGTGAATACCTCGATATTTGATTGGCAACAGCAAATGTTTTCGTCATAGCATTGGAATATTCTTGATTGCTTCTGTTTATTATTGCTTCTTATTTCCTAGCATATTTGAATTGCATCACTTTCTGATCAGCCTTTGTAATTTTCTTTACCATTTCCCATTGTGATGCACTAATAATTATTATACAGTGTCTCTTCAGGTTTTTAAATTCTTATTTTAGAATGATGACTGCTTTGCCCAGAGTAGAGATTTGGTGATCCCAGTTACGTAGGGATGGCAATCTAGCCTAAGGTATAAGCACAGATGTTGTGGTCAGAGAGAACCTGGTTCGAATCCTGGCACTAATACATACTGGCTGACAAGTTGCTTCATGTTTATAACCCTTGATTTCTTCTTACATAGGATTGGTATTTTTACTCAGCTCTGTTAACATTTGTGAGGAATTAGAAAACTCATGGACAAGAAGACAGTGCCTGCACTTAGTCACTGCCAAACAAAGGGCCACTATTTATATCCCTAAATTATCCACTTCATTTGGAAATATCACAAATGTGGCCACTGGTTTGATTTTTTTGCAGCAATTCATATGTGGATGAAATTGAGCTCAGTGCAACTCAGCTATCTAACGCTTAAGAAGACACACATTTTATATTCTGATAAATACTGAGTTGGAGACATACTTGCTGTGAATGAATGAATAAATGAATTTAAATTTTATACTTGTCCTTATGAGAGTAAGCATTAATTTGTCATTGATTACAACCTTAAATGATTGATGAGTACTTAGAAACTAATGACTTCGCAAAAGAGAATTTCCAAACTGTCAATTTGCTTAGAATTTAAACAATGTCATTGTATTATTCCTCTAAAGCTTGAAGTTTTCAGATGTGTTTCTTTTTATCTGGCATTTTATTAAAAGATGTGTTACGCATGGGAAAGGTCAATGAATGTGACACAGGGCTTGGCAAAGCTGGGATTTATGGAGACACAATTTTTTAGAAGTTTTCTATTGGAAGATCAGACCTGTTCTTCTTCCTTTTCCTAAAGACAAACTTTAGGAGATAACATCAATTAATAATTTTGAGAAATAGTCCTTAACACTTTGATCATATAACTATACCCCAATTAGTTTATGAGATGACCCATCTAATTGGGGCATAAATGATTTCAAATACATCTTTAGGGAAGATGGCTAAGTTTCCAACTTGATCTAACAGGTGCTTTAGAGACCTAATATAGAAAGAGTTTAGATTGATTATAGAAGGAATATAATGTAGAATGGAAGATCTCTTTAGTTTTCGTAGTGTTTCTAGTATCAAATCTAGAGAGAGGGTTTTATTCTGTGTAAATGAGATCTATGATATTAGCAACCATTTAGATATAGATGGCTAGATTATTAACTTTTTAGCAGTTTGACTTTCGTCATAGCACTTATGACTGACATAAGTATTTTAATAATTAATTTTATGCATACTTGCCTTTCTTGAGTAGTGATAAATCCTATTTACATAAAGACCTCTAAAAACATGCCTGTAGGCCAAGGAAGGGACGTTGCATCTCGTGAAGAATCCTGGGATATTTGGTAGGAGAGAGTGGAGGAGGGCTTTGGGCTTATGCTGAGTGGCATTAAGGGTGGACCAGCAGAAGCCGTGGTCAACTCTGTACTGAGTGCTATTCTGAAGCCGAGGCAGTTTCACAATTGAGTATCCTAGTGATCTTTGCTCAGGAAGCAGGGGAAATGAAGTAGAGCTAGGAAAGTTGGTAGGAATGAAAGAAATCATTCAACAGTAGGGAGTTATTACATTGTTTAGCAACTATGGAATGCTCTTAGGAAAATTTTTTTTGTTGACTTTACAGTTGTACTTACTTCTGTTAATGAAGCACAATCTGATTTTTAGCAGGGATGACTTTTATTTACTCAGATGTCGCATAAAAACTTTTGTCTTTTCCTCACAGCTCCATTTTGGTGCTCAGAATTTTCTTGACATCTGTAGGCTGAAAATCCCAAATGCAAAAACCTGAACTACAAAATGTTGCAAAATCCAAAAGCTTTTGAGTGCAGACATAATGACACAGGTGGAAAATTCCACACCTGACCCTGTGTGATGGGTCACAGTCAAAATGCAGCCGAAACTTTGTTTCATGTGCAAAATTATTGAAATATTGTATAAAATTACCTTTAGGCTATGTATATAAGGTGTGTATGAAACATTAATTTAGTGTTTAGACTTGGGTCCTGTCCCCAAGACATCTCATTATGTATATGCAAATGTTCCAAAATCTACAAAAATCTGAAATCAGAAATACTCTGGTCCCAAGCATTTTGAATAAGGGATACTCAACCTGTAGTAGGAATAAAATATACCACCCTCCTCCCCATGTCTGTTGGATGAATAACAACTTTTATTGATGATATACTAAACTTTGTCCTTAAGCTGTTCTCCTACAAAATATGGGACTCCTTTCAGATAGCCAGTCTCAGTACATAGCTGCAAAACTTTGCATGATGTTGTTTAAATTGAGAGGCTATTTTGATGTCATGAGTGAGTATCAGGAAGGCAGACCATCACAAGAATTGGGTCTTTTCTGTGAGCAAGAGACTTAGAGAAGTAAGGGACCTTTCTGAAAAGAAGCACAACTTGCCCATGTTCCTCTTTCCTGAGTGGACCCAACAGGCAGTGGTTAATGTGAGATACGGTGTATAGTTTTGTATTTCCAGCAATGCTGAAATCTGAATAACCAGGAAGCTAAAAATGAAGAAACAAATCATAAATCAAAGAACCTTTGATACTTCTCCTTCCTTCCACTGGTCTTCTTCCTTGGACTCGTCCTGCGTGGAACATATTCCACACAGCAGACACTATGATCCTTTGAAAATCCATGACAAATCAAATCAATCAATCCTCTGACCAACCTTCACCTCCTCTCCTCCCTGACTTCCCAATTCACTTAAAATAAAACCTCAAGTCTTTGCTGGCCCTCATCCCTTCTCTGACATCATCTTATTCTGTCACTGATAGATCAGGCAGATCTGGCTCTGTTGACCTCTTTGCTGTTAGAAGCAAGGAACATGTTCTGGCTTTGGGGCTTTGCATGGATCCATTCCTATTTTTGGAATCCTCTTTCTCAAATAGTGTTTCTCATTCTTGTCACTTAAGTCTCTGCTCACATGCTCCCTCATCCTCTGTGGGATGGCTTCATCCCTCTTCAAACATATATATCCTCATGGGAACACTAGCTTCCCAAAGGCAGGACCCTTGTCTGATTTGACCACTGAGTTGATGAATTTGTAAGAAGCCAAGTCAGGCTTTGAAAGCAGATTCCTAGCATCCATTGAAAGGAGGAATTTTGAGGGTAGATGCTAGATTAGACAAAATTCAACCTTATCTCCCATATATTTTGCGTGTGGTAACAGTGGTGTATGTTCCCTACAATGCCCTGGTAGCATTACAAAGAAAAATTGTTTGGGCTTTTTCAGAACTATCACATTTTAAAAATATTTGTTGTCATTTTCTTTGTTGTTTTTTTTTTTTTTTTTTTTTTTTTTTTTTTTTTTGAGACGGAGTCTTGCTCTGTCACCCAGGCTGGAGTGCAGCGGCATGATCTCGGCCCAATGCAGTCTCTGCCTCCTAGGTTCGAGCGATTCTCCTGCCTCAGCTTCCTGAGTAGCTGGGATTACAGGTGTGTGCCACCATGCCCAGCTAATTTTTGTATTTTTAGTAGAGACGGGGTTTTACCATGTTGGCCAGGCTGGTCTTGAACTCTTAACCTTGTGATCTGCCCTCCTCGGCCTCCCAAAGTGTCAGGATTACAGGCGTGAGCCACCGTGCCTGGCCCATTTTCTTTTTTAAGATGGAATCATGCTCTGCCGCCCAGGCTGGGGTGCAGTGGTGCGATCTTCTCAGGGCTCACTGCAACCTCCATCTCCTGAGTTCAAGCAATTCTCTTGTGTCAGCCTCCTGAGTACAGCACCTGCCACCATGTCATTTTTTTTTTTTTTTTTTTTTAGTAGAGATGAGGTTTTACCATGTAGGCCAGGCTGGTCTCGAACCCCTGACCTCAAGTAACCTGCCTGTCTCGTCCTCCCAAAGTGCTGGGATTACAGGTGTGAGCCACTGTGCCTGGCCACATATTGAACATTTATGTGCTCAAATCCCAGGAGGGTTTCTAATTCCTTGGTTACTTAATAATGTCACAACTAAATGAATGCTTCAGTTATCCAGATTTCTCTAAGCCCAGGTTATGGTAAACAGATTTATTTCTATATTGTGAGTTTGAATTTCTTTTCTAATTATGAGTGACTCCTCTCTCAAAGGACATGCAAATCTTTTTATCCTGCCTCTGCCCCATCACCTGGGTCCACAAAAAAGCATCTGTGTCTACTTCTGAAAATGCAAATTATTTGAATGTGCCAGAGTAAGTAAAAAGGAAGTGGTGCATGCATGGTGTAGTTTGTAAATGTAAGAGTGACTTGAGACAGATGAGATCCTTTATTGAAATTAATAGTTAATGAATTTTCCCAAGAGAAACACCATTTAGTAGAGGTGACAATGGTAGTTACCGAAAACCCTATTTAAATCACGCTTGCCTTAAAAAACTAAAAACCAAAAAACCAAAAAAATCTTGTCTATTTCATCTTGTCTGGTTTGCATTATGTTCATTACCTGATTCTTCTTTCTAAAAGGAGAGATACAGTTCTGAAAATAGTTATTGCCTAAAGGGAGAAAACAAATTCTTTTCCTGGTATTGCAGTTTTGTTATTTGTTTTCCAACAGGTTAAAGGATTTAATTATTCAGATGCTCTAGAACTGTTCTCTGCATATTCTTTTGATCATACGCCCTATCAAGCAGGTACTTTTTGAGCAGACACACCCAATATATAAGTTTACATATTTACTTATAAATTATGTACATGTACTATGGTGCTGATAATATATATACATTATTCAGCATACACTAAAATAGAGATTAAAAGAACACATTAAGTCAGTGTGAATGGAAGTTCCAATATTTTCTTCCTACACTCTGTGGCTATGCTGGACTCTCCCTGGGCCATGCTCACTCAGTTCACTCTGGGGACCCCCTTCACCCCACCCAGCCTAGTCCAGGTCATGGGATTGCAGGACCTGAATAAAAACACACCATTAGTACTCATACTCTGCCTAGGGAGGCTAAGGGAAGAAAAGTTTGCTAAAGGTCCTGAATAAAGCTCATCGAACTCCAAATTCTTCACCTTTAAAGAGAACATGCTACAGTGCACAGCCTGGCACCTGGGGCAGAGTGGTGATCAGGAAGGGGAAATTGATGTTCTCCTCCTATTTCTGCTGCTGTTCTGTTACTGCAGCTGTTAACTGCTAGTTCATAAATCTTTTATCTAAAAATTCACAATTCAGAAACTTTTGCAAATGGAAAGGATTTTGTTTGTAAGAATCCTTACCAGGGTTTGGTAGCAAACTCTGACTTGGACTCTTGTGTAACTATTTCTGTTCTATGTAGTAGTTATATATCCCATTAAGTTTGAATTGTGATATGTTTGATGATGAAATACTGTCTCCAAACCATTTAGGGTATTGTGTAATATATGATACACTCTCTAAATTCTTAAATTTCTGAACTCCAAAAACAAACCTGGCCCAAGGTTGGTTTAACCTCTGTGATGATTATTTCTACTTTGAAGCTTGTTGCCCTTTTGTTCAGGTTATTGCTGTATGATCATTTGGTGAAGGATACTGCTTTTTGATGGACATGATCGCTTGTAAAGGCTTCCCCAGGTCTCTACTGTAGGGAAGAGTGCGCCTGTCCTGATTCAGTCATTTGTAAACTATTGTTATTGTTTGGACAGGAATAGCAGATGGCTTAGTCTCACCCTTGTGCACTGAATGCCCTCCACATCACCATGTAATTGTCCTTTCCAGATCATACATTGGGTAAGGAACCTTCTGATCTCTGCCCTGTTCTTAATCTCCTTCAACCACTTTCTCTTCCCCTTTGGCTGTTCACCAGTGAGGTCATTTGCTTTATCTCTGGAATATATGAAAAGGCTCCACCTGTACCTCTCATGTTGTCTTCTCACTTCTGTTTTCTCTACCCAAGGAACCTTGAGTGCCTTTCCTGGGGATTCTGGCCACGGAAACTTCTCCTGTTCCTCAGGGGCAATAAGGGTATGCGAAAATTCCTCCCCGACTCAGGATCCAGTGGGCTTGCCATGGTGCATTCAGAGGCTCTGCCATCTCTTTAGCATTCCTTTCCAGGCTGCAGTCTACCCCCTGAGTCCAGCCCACTCAACTTTCTTGTTCAGCTTTGGCATCATCTCATGATTGGAGGGTGCAGCCTTCATTGATAGGCTGGCATTCTTTCCAGAGTGACAGTGCCAACTCTCTTCTTCTTTCTGCCCTCTCGTCTTCTCTCATGGGCCACAGAGTGGTTGGGAATACAGGTTGTGGGCAGACAGTAAATGGGGCTTCCAACACCATATTAAGGACTTTGAACTTGTACAAAGTTTATCTGCAGGAGCCATTAAAGGTGATTCCATCTCTACCTTGAAAAGACCGTTGCTCTGGTGGTGTAAATGAGAGATTGTAGAGGAGAGAGGTGAGAGAAGGGGAGTAGAGGTTCAGAGTACACTCTCAGATATCCTTTATTTCACTTCAGTTTCAAAATGTTAATTTGACTGTGTAAACCAAAAATAAAATTCTAAGGCCCTCCAACCATCTGAATGAACCCCTCTTCTCAGCCAACGGCATTCCAACGTTAACCTGAAAAAATGAGTTCAGGCCATGATGGGAGGGGACAGCCAGGCATGCCTCATTATACCCTCCTCCCTTTTGGAATTACTGAAAGAACAGTAATAGAACAGTGATAGTTCTTTAGGTCTGGTAAGAAACATTTACAACCTGTTCTCTCTGAAGCCTGCTACCTGGAAGCTTCATCAGCACGATGAAACCTTGGTGTCCACAACCTTTTATCATGACCGAGACCCTCCTTTCTATTGATGATTCTTTTACCAATTGCCAGTCAGAAAACTTTTAAATCTACCTGTGACCTGGAAGCTCCCCTGCCTCCTCACCACCCACCCCTGCTTCAAGTTGTCCCACCTTTCTGGACCAAACCAATGTGTATCTTTCATGTATTGATTGATGTGTCTCATGTCTCCCTAAAATGTATAAAACCAAGTTGTACCCCCAACCCCCTTGGGCACTTGTCATCAGGACCTTCTGAGGCTGTGTCATAGGTGCATCTTTAACCTTGGCAAAATAAACTTTCTAAATTGATTGAGACCTGTCTGAGACACTTTTTGGGTTCACACTACCACCTGATTGGTAAAACAGTTGGAGTGGATAGCATGTGGATTCTGTGTTAGGCAGCTGTGAGTCTTAGTGACAACTCTACCATCAAAAACCAACCGGTGGCCAGGCAGGCTGTAATGTATAAAGTAGGGGCTTTTATGCCTTTTAGTAATTCTTGCAGGATGCTTCTGAGTATTATATAAATTACGTCTGTAACATGTGACTGAGTACCAGGAATGTAGTACCTGTTCAGTAAAGGTTGGTGTTTAGTTTCCCTCACACCATGAGATATTTGCACTGAGGTCTGAACTTTGAAAACCAGGCATATGTAGTTGATGTTTTTGTATTCCAGATAGTGTCGCTTTTAATTGACACAGGTAGTGTTCATTAGGTCATGTTAATAAAAGAAATAGTTTTTTTCTAACCATGTATTAAGCTATCCAAAACCCCTGCTTGGCTGATGTTTATGCTGATTCAGAATGAATTCATGTCATAATTTAAAACTCGTGAACTGAAGTGTTTTTCATTGTACATTGGATTGAAGATCTCACTTAAAACTGTGTGGTCTGTGTGAGGTTGTATTACTTTATTGGTTAGGAAACTATATTTCAGGACTTTGAAAAACATTAATTTCTTGTATATTGCAATTAATCTAATTAGACAAATATTTAAATATTTTTGGAAAACTAATGTTTTATTTCCTTCCCTTCTAATTATTGTCTTTACACATCACAGCAGTATAATCTACTGTAGTCTTTTATTCAGGGTAACTTATCTTTAAATAATTAAAAAATAAATTTAAAGAGCTTTTAGTTGGTCACCTAAACTATTTTATTGTTTTAAGTACCAATAAATGAAACTTTATAATAGTCTTATTGCACAGTTATTAAATATAACATTTCATGATGCCTTTTAATATGTATAATGTTTGTTAATTGAACTTCATTTGGAAAGTGTTTGAAGATTGTAGTTTTAATTTCTGATGTGTGTGTTTTTCATAGTCCATCTTTTAGCAATTTATAAAGTGAACTATTTCTTTTGGAAGATGACTAAGACATTGCTGAAACTATATTGGCCTAGGTCCATTTTTCAAAATCATGATTTGTAAATTTACTTTGAAATTTAACTTTAATTGTTAAAGCAAATCTAACAGTGATTGCAAGATATAGGAAAGTCATAGCTGCAATGTCTATATTTTCGATTTAGTATACATTTAAAATATTGCTTCTCAAAGCATATTTTAGAGGGTATGTGTTATATTAATGGTGAAATAAATATATAGGGAGTTGGGCATATAACTCTCTATGGAAAAACCTCTATTTCTTTCTTTTTTTTTTTGTGGGGGTGCGTGGAGGAGACAGAGTCTTGCTCTGTTACCTGGGCTGGAGTGCAATGGAGTGATCTCGGCTCACTGCAACCTCAGCCTCCTGGGTTCAAGCAATTCTTGTGCCTCAGCCTCCTGAGTAGCTGGGATTACAGCCACCTACCACAATGGCCATGTAATTTTTATATTTTTAGTAGAGGCAGGGTTTTGCCATGTTGGCCAGGCTGGTCTCGAACTCCTGGCCTCCTGTGATCCACCCATCTCAGCTTCCCAAAGTGCCGGGATTACAGGTGTGTGCCACTGCACCTGGCCTTATTTCTTCTTTGTAGTAGAAAATATACTGCAGGAGTCATTAAAGGTGATTTCATCTCTGCTTTGAACAGATCACTGCTCTGGTGGTATAAATGAGAGATTGTAGAGGAGAGAGGTTAAAGAAGGAGAGTCAGACTCATGACTTTATAGTAGAAAATAGACTCATGACTTCATAGTAGAATATAGACTCGTGACTTTGTGTCCATAAACCTGTTTAGTAAGCAGAGAAGGATGCATTATCCACTTTGGTTTTCGGCTGAATAGTGAATGGGCATTGTGTCTTCTGAGAGATACATACAGCTAAGTCTCATTGTTCACGATAGTTATGTTCTATCAAGTCAAAACAAACACTGAAATAGCAAACACTGGACCATTGCTTGTAGGGGAAATACAAAGTTAGCTTCCTTTCAGCCTCTGGCCACAATATTTTTGCCACCCTATTAATAGATAATGGTATTGTGTATGTGTTTCTGTTTAAGGACATGTCATTTAACACGTATTGTTGACTCATTAACTCTGAACTCATAGCCAACAGCATTATGACTTACGCCCGAATGAAGTTTATCTAAAACATGTGTCTTCTCTGTAAGACACATCACAGCCTTCTGTCCTTAGGAACACCAGACAACACTACAGCTTTATGCTAGGGAACCATTTTAAACAGTGAAGTCACCAACCAAAAGCACAAAGAGATGAAAAACACAGCATTAAATAGACCACGGAAAGAAGAGTTACAGTTTGAGAGCTGAAACAAGAAGGCAGACATTGCCTTCTTCAGCCTCCTCTGGGAATATGCATGTAGAGTGATTCACATTTTTTTGCACGTGTCTGTGAATGACCACAAAAGTGCTGTGGGGTTATAAAGAAACTTTAGCGAGTATACCAGTTCACAAATGAGAATCATCTGTAGTCAGACTAGAGTAAATTTTTAAGGCTTTCAAATTGTCAGCTGAACAGCTAAACCCTTTCTTCCGAAGAGCTTAGTCTGGTAGATATGAGTAGATTCAAATTCTCCTCCTACCTGGAAGGCCTAGTTTCTCTCTCTGGCACTCCTCTTACTTGGTGCTGACACTTGAAACCTCTTAGATGTCCCTCACTTCTTCTTGGTCACAGTCCCTACTTCCACTTGAACAAGTGAATCACCTTTGCCTCCTCCCTAGGACCCTGGTTAGCTTACACATTCTGTCATATGTCCTGAAATGGGAAGTGTCACAGTGTAGTGATGAAGAAAGTGGGCTCTGGTTTCAGATGGCCTAGGATTAAATCCTGCTCTATCACTTACTGTTTTTGTGCCCTTGGGCAGGCGGTCATTGTTTTCCCATCTGTACAAGGGGTATAATAATATTGTCCACTTGAGGCTGGGCGCGGTGGCTCATGTCTGTAATCCCAGCACTTTGGGAGGCCGAGGCGGGTGGATCACGAGGTCAGGAGATCGAGACCATCCTGGCTAACACAGCGAAACCCTGTCTCTACTAAAAATACAAAAAAATTAGCTGGGCATGGTGGCGGGCACCTGTAGTCCCAGCTACTCGGGAGGCTGAGGCAGGAGAATGGCGTGAACCCGGAAGGCAGAGCTTGCAGTGAGCCGAGTTTGCGCCACTGCACTCCAGAGCCTGGGCGACAGAGCGAGACTCTGTCTC
This sequence comes from Homo sapiens, assembly GCF_000001405.40. NCBI lineage: Eukaryota > Metazoa > Chordata > Mammalia > Primates > Hominidae > Homo > Homo sapiens. The sequence continues at coordinate 94,264,611 of NC_000015.10, forward strand.
AAAAAAGAAAAAAAAATTGTCTACTTGAAATGTCAGTCATTGATAAGATAATATGTATTTAAGGTATTTAATATAGGTTGGCACATAAGCCCTCAAGTGTAAACTATTAACTCACTCAGTTACTTATATGTAACTTGTTTTTAGCCATCTTAAGAATTTGATTATGCACACCAACAAAAACAAAAGAAGGGGAGGAATTAGAGTAAAGGATACTCATGTATGAGAAGATCAAGCTGAGGTAATATTAGAACAAACTAGGAGGTTTGGAAGATATAAACTCTCAATTTGGTCCTGAGTTCTGACCAGTCCCAATAAGGAAAGCCTGATTCTCACTATCTTTTAAATAAAGGATTTTTTTTTTCAGGGAGCACACATCTATTTCTGGAACTGAATAATTATTTTTTCCTTGTTATAGGGCACTTTGATGTGCGTATGCCTGTTGTGCTGATTTGTGATATGTTTGTGTATACATGTGTGTCTCATTACACTCAGAATCTTGGAGATTTGGCTTCAGTTTACTTAACTTCCATATCCAGGCCTACCTATGAGGCAATAACTCTGCCAAGGACTCCTGCTTTTGATGATGGGATTGCCAGGACACTTGACTCTACAAGAACTCTGCGTTTGCCCTTCCTCTGATTTTATCATGAGTCACTTATACTAACTCTAAGTGCAGAAAAAGGCAACAGGGGTTATATGAAAATGGTAATGGCAGACAGAGGCAGACGAAGGGACTGAGTTCAGTGTACTTTGTCCAAGGGGTCACGTGGACTTGGACATTGTGGCTGGGACCTTAAAGCCAAGGTCTCCATGCTTTTGGTTCATGGCACTCTATTATTAAATATTTCAAAGTATATACTCCATGTGTATGCACTTACTTACTTGTAGATTATATATACATAGTTCAGAGTTTATATAAGATATACACTACTGTTTGCATTGAGATATTAAATAGCTTATATAAGATGTACACCACTGTTTGCGTTGAGATATTAAAAGAAGGATGACTGTTCTAAAAGTAGATCATAGAGATATTGTGTAACTCAATAACTTTAATAAATATTATTCAGTTGTACATTTAAAATGGGTAAATTGTATATTATATAAATTATCTTAATGAAGCCTTTTTAAAAAGGAAGATAAAATGAAGGCAAAATAAACAGTATATAAACATTTGAAAACTTAGAAAGTAGAAGGCTTTTGATCTCACCCAATTTATTAATAATTAAATCCTTATTTTTTAGCAGAAGCAATGTAATTAAACATGTCATCAACATTTTTAATCATTTCATTTCAGAAAGCTCACGCTGGGAGTGTAATTACCACAATTTCAGTATTTTCGTCTGTGTTTTGACTATTGTCTTCAGTCCATAGTTGCTTTGCAAGATTCTTTTTTAGTAAGACAAGATCACATCTTTAAATCTCTGTAGCTAGCTGTGCTGTACACATACACGTGCATGCGTGTGCGCGCACACACACACACACGTGCTCTACAGTCTCAATATGCACACACTGGATGATCCTGAGAGTGTGTGGCCTGGGGTCTGTGTTGCTGCACTGTGATCATTACATTCTTGCATCAGAGCAGCTCCAAATAGCTTGTGAGTCACTGATCTATGGATTATGTGAGGGGGCCACAGCCTCTTCCATTTCCTGGTGCTGCATTATTCATTAGCACTTTTACTATGTGAATTGCATGCAAATATTTTTTTGACTCGTTTGTATTTTTATTATTATAATTATTTGTCTGTCTCCTCCTCCAAGATATATGCTTCAGAAGGTCAGGAACTCAGTCTGTTTTGTTCACTGTTGCATTCTCAGCACTTTGACTAGCTCTTGGCACAAATTCTTGGCTCAATAAATATTGCCAAATAAGTAAATCAATTTGTGTATTAAATTTTAGTAACAACACATTTTCCTCCATTTTAAAAATGAAAATAAATACACGCTGAAGTTCAGATATTTTCTCCCTGCCCACACTGAGGTACCAACACTCAATTTTGGAGACCATTGCTGTAGTTGGGCGGTAGGTGAACAGCAGAGAAGGAAACGAAGGGTATCAGAGGCAAGGCAGAGAGCCCATAGAGAATGTGTTTCACTGAAAGGCCAGACTCACTTTTCTGGCTTTTGACATTTGGATCAGACCCACCTTACCCGTCTTGCCATATAAAAGGAAAGCAATGAAGAGTTGAGTCAGAAAATGAAGCAGATAAATGTAAAACTTGGTTCAGAACAATGTAAAACATTTTTGCAATTTTGTGCAACAGGGCTGCTGGTGATGTTTGAGGGACTTGGAAGACATTTAAGAGTGGCACTGTGACCTGTGACCTGTGACTTGTTCACATTGACTGGGCTGGCGAAGACAGGAAGTATTCAAGGGAATTGCACCTATTCAGTTTGTTTTGAAGAACTGCTTTGTAATGTAACTGAAATCCAGTTGATTCAGTTTTTGTGTTTGCTTTTTGAATAATTTACATACAGTAAAATCTATCCTTGTTAGGTAGATGGCTGTTGGAGTTTGAGAGATACGTGCAGTCTTGTCACCACTGCCGCAATCATAATGTAGGTGGTTTCTGTCACCTCTTCAAAAGTTTCCCTGTCCCTGTTGCAGTCAATTCCTTCCCCTTAGCAAGCATTGGTCTTATTGCTATCCATATAGTTTTCCCTTTTCCAGAATGTCATTAAGAATGATATCATACAGTACGTTTGCTTTTTATGTACGAATTCTTTCACTTAGAGGAATTTATAAGCGTTATGCTATGTTGTTTTGTGTATTAGAAGTACATTTCTTTTTGTTGGTGAGTAGTATTCCATTATATGGACACATCATATTTAAAAAAAATCCATTCACGAGTTAATGGAAAGATGGATTTTTTAAAGTTTTTGACAACTTTGAATAGTTTCTTTAAATGTTCATGTGCAAGTCTTGGTGTGGAGATCTCTTTTAATTTCTCTTAAACTCCTGTGAGATTGCTGGATCATATAAGAAACTGTCACATTTAATTAAACAAGAAATTTATACTTCAATTATATAAGAAACTTTCAAGCTGTTTTCCAAAGTGTCTGTGCCAGTTTACATTCTTATAATCAATGTATGAGAATTCCGCTTTCTCCTCATCTTCACCAGCACTTTGCATTGTCAGGATTTTTGGTTTGTTTGGTTTTGTTTGCCTGCTTGCTTACTTTTAGCCATTCTAGGAGGCAGTTGGTTTAGTTTCAAATGTAATGGCATGGGTCTGGATTACTTTCCTTTTCTTTCTTTTTTTTTTTTTTGAGACAGAGTCTTGCTCTGTCGCCCAGGCTAGAGTGCAGAGGCGTGATCTTGGCTCACTGCAAGCTCTGCCTCCTGGGTTCACGCCATTCTCCTGCCTCAGCCTCCCGAGTAGCTGGGACTACAGGTGCCCGCCACCACACCTGGCTAATTTTTTGCATTTTCAGTAGAGATGAGGTTTTCACTGTGATAGCCAGGATGGTCTCAATCTCCTGACCTTGTGATGAACCCGCCTTGGCCTCCCAAAGTGCTGAGATTACAGGTATGAGCCACCACGCCCGGCCCAAATTCATTCTTTCTTTCTTTTTTTTTTTTTTGAGACAGAGTTTCGCTCTTGTCACCCAAGCTGGAGTGCATTGGCACAATCTCGGCCACTGCAACCTCCGCCTCCTGGGTTCCAGTGATTCTCCTGCCTCAGCCTCCTGAGTAGTTGGGATTACAGGCGCCTACCACCATACCTGGCTAATTTTTTTTTTTTTTTGTATTTTTAGTAGAGACGGGGTTTCACCACGTTGGCCAGGTTTAGTCTTGAACTCCCGACCTCAGGTGATCCACCTGCCTCGGCCTCCCAAAGTGCTGGGACTACAGGCATGAGCCACCGCGCCTGGCCACTTTCCTTTTCTTCTTTTTCAATCTTTATTTTGTTGTCCTTCTCGTTTTCTTGGGAAAGTGTCCCCTTCTTGTTTTCTCCCTTGGCTGGCTTCCTTTGTATAGACTATGTGATTAACACCTCATTAAATACCGTCAGAACTTCTATTTCTGTATATTCATAGTATATGTTCCACACTGCCTTGCTATCCATGAATTCTTACCAGTAGATCATAAACTTCTTATGGACAGGTTTTGTGCCACTCTTATAAGAACTAGTAGATACTCAGGTAACATTTCTACATTGACTTTTTTTTTTTTTTTTGAGGAGATAAGAGTAGAGTCAGCTCTGAGATGACTACTTTTTAAGTGATTCTTATTTTTAATCTTTTTGTATATTATTGGTAGTTTTTAGGACCTAAGGAAAGCATGTTTGCCAGATTTCCACTTCTGAATCAGGGATGGATTGATGGAATACTTTAATAACATTATTTTTAAACTATTAGCATAAGGGTTTTTTAATTGCTCCAACAATGTTAGTGTCTTCTTCACTTAGCATTATACTATTTTAATAATATTGTTTAAATGATTAGTATAAGGACTTTTTAAATTGCTCCAACAATGTTCATTTGTCTTTCACACTTAGCACTTCGTGATATTTATAAAGGGCCCATTGAAGTATCTCGTGTTGACACACTGAGGTTGGTTAGTTTGGGTTTCAAATTCTGTCAGTTTTCAAGCTCTGTTCAAGTTCACTTTTAAGCATGAATCATGAGTTACACAAATCATATAGATTTATTCTTAAAATGTTGATTATTTTAAGTCATCTTTTTCAGTAAGTGCCTTATAAAGATTTGGGCAGAGTTTCAAATTCTTCTAATATTCAGGCTTTAGGTGTAAGAATAATTGATAGAATTTAGGGGTAAGAATAATTGATAGAATAATTGATGTTTTAGACAGATAATAGAGTAGATTTGTCTTTACAACTCCAGATATCTGGAATCATATGTTTTCAATGATTGCCTTATGAAGATTATTGAAAACTGATATCTCAGTGTTAATTTTCAGTGTGTCTTGTATAAGCTCTCTCGTGGACAGAGCAGCTTTTATAAGGGTTAAATTTATCAGGCTCCCATATATGTGATTAGCCATTGCTGTAGACAGTTTTCTAGTATTTCATGTTAGGAAATACTCAACAAATACATTTTAATATAACCAAGGTTCTGAAGAAGACCTTACCTCTGAATATTTTCCACAGAGCCTATTATATTCCCGAGTTCACAGAAAGTTGTTTTATTACTTCAAGGACTCTCTGGGCTCAACTCTGTAGCTAAAGAATGTTATGTTATTCTCTGGGCTTGGTAATTGTGTTCCAACTCTGATATTTAGCCGTGATACTGTTGTTTCAGAGTTTGAAGTAAGGGAAGATACCTCTAAAAAAAAGGTTCAACTCTAAAGCGTTTCACTTATCCATCTATATTGTAACATTTTTTTTCCAGTTGTCCCTTTTCTCCAAGCAGAATAAAATAACAGAAGCAGGGCACAGTGGTGAGGGTATTCAGGCACCATGCTTGTGGTTCCAGCTAGTGGACGTTATGTTCCTGTTGGGGACTTTTGAAATGTATATGATGGTTTTTCTGGTCACACTGACAGGGACATTGCTGACACATAGGAGATGGGGACTATGATAGCTGCCATCTTACAGTGTACAGAACAGACCCATATGTCAAAGAATGTTTCCACCCCAAGTGCCAGAAGTACCCCCTGTTGAGCAACACTGAGATAGAGAGGCTTCAATTTCGGGCACTGTGAGCTTGAACAGTTTGCATTTGCTTCATCTGTAAAGTTGGAGGTAAAATTACCTATTGTATAAGATCATTTTAAGGATTTCTGATGATGTATGTAAAGCAGTGAACACAGGACCAGATGCTTAGTAGGAACTAGTAGAGGAATTGTTTGACGCCATTTTTAACCTTTAGTGGTTTCCCAGCCCACTCACAGTAAAAGCTGATGTCCACAGACTGGCCTACATGGACCTGTCCAATGCGATCTCCTGCTCCCCTTTGAGGTCATCTCCTGGTGGTCCCCCTCTCTGGCTCTCTTCCAACCACACTGGCCTCCTTGCTCTTTCTCCATCTCCCCAGGTGGGCTGCCTACCCCCTATCCCCCTCTCCTGGCCTTCTGCACTTGCTCTTTCTGCTATGTGAGAGGCTCTTTGGCTACATGTATCCCCCTGGTGTTCTCCCACACTTTCTTCCACATTCTGCTTACCTCATCTAAGGGGTGTTTTCCTGATGCATGATAGAAAAATAGATGCTTGGCTGTCCACAGCCACCCTTTGTTTCCACTCGGTTGTTTCTCTTCCCTTTACCATCACAGACAGACAGAAATTATTGTCTGTCTCTTCCAAGTAGTACATAACTTTCATGTAAGCAAGTACTCTGCCTTGTTCACTGATATATCCCTAGTGGCTGGAATATCCCATCGTTACTTAGGTGTCAATATGTGTATCAGATGACTGGATTAGTATTTTAAAACAGCAATGGCAAAGAAGTTGTAATTGACTGGTAACACTTGGTTGTATTACCAGTCAATCACAACAGTGTTACCAGTCAGTTACAACAGTACTTCATATGCTATTTGTGTGTATGTATGTGAGACGAGAGTGTGTGTGCATAAAAAAGTTATCCTTTCTACTAGTTACATAGATTTAAATCCAGATGATGGAATTAATAATTTACAGGAAACTCCCCATCTAAACAATTTTGATAAGCTTTGCAAGATATACCACACATTAGGTTGTCCAAAAATTGGATTTCTCTACTCACTGCTCTTCCAATTATATTATTCTCTCATCTCTTTTAATTGAAGGAAGCATGATACTTGTATTCTTACATGAGACTACCTTAAGGGCATAATGATGTGATTATATTTGGGTATATGTTTTGAAATTGGTTGCAAATCTCTAGAGGTTATCAGTAAAACTACTTGTAGCATGTTAGAATTAGTGAGTTTTCCTGTCTGCTTGGAGGAGGTGTAATTGCTCTTTGGATAGACAATAGGTGTTTGCTGTTTCTGTTAATATGGGTAGGAGCTGGGGACATGCTTTGAATGATTATGTTATGAAAGAAACTACTGGCTTGATGTTTTAGAAGCAAGAGAAAGATAAATGGTATAATATACTTATTTGAAAGATAGGTATTTGAATTTAAATTTTCTTTCTTGCTCTTTGGTAGATGTGATGATTTCTTTAAAATATTTTGCTTTGTTTCTGAAAAATTTGTCTGGATTTTATGGCTTAAAAATATGCACCATTTGTGAAACATATTCTTTTTCACACCAGAAATGGCTTTGGAACATATGCATAAAGTTTCTGTTGTTCTAAATTAGTGTTTCTTTTGGGCTAACCTTTCAATTACATTTACCATCCTAAAATAACTTCTTTACCTAAGTTGGACAAGATTTTGTACTGGAAATTAATACCTTTGCCTCCTACTATCCTTATTCCGGTGATGTTCTAAAGATAGTTCAGGTGTTCTGTTTCTGCAGGTAATTATTAGACAAGGAAACCTTTAAATGTGGTGATAATGTTAGGCAGGACCTTTGAAGTTTAATGGTTGTGTTCTAATGTAGGAACTGTTTAAGAGATCCATCTGTGTGGTTTAATCTAGGGCCAATAAACTCAATTATGTGAAGAAGTGAATTGCCTTCTCTTATATTTGTATGTAATGGCTAAGACAATTTTTTTTATTGGATGGTGCTTAATTTCAAAACTTGGGTCTATACCTGGATGGCAGATAATAACTATTCTTCTAAGGTGATCAAGGAAGTGTGTGTGGGTGTGCATGCATTGGGAGATGAGGGGTAGCAGTCCAATCAATGAGTAATTACTGATTGAACACTGTAGCCAGAGAAGCACGTGCGTTTAGCGTGAGTGTTGCGTCTGTCTACCTCTGTGATCCAGCCTCTTCTGCTCGACCTTCAGCCCAATTTTTTTTTTAGTTATCTAATCTGTTACTTTCATTTCCTTCTTTCCCACTCTCTTCTGAACCTACTTTAGGCAGATTTTCTTCTCCATTCTCCCATCAAAACAATGCATATCAAGATTGTCAGTAATCTTCATTTCACTAAATGGATACATTCAAGATTATTGTTACTGGATCTCCAAACAGCACTTGAGACTGTTGACCACTTCCTCTATAAAACACCCTTCCTTTGGCTTTTCGGTTTTGGGTTCTATTTGTCATAAGATAACACCATATTTTTTTTTCCCCTCTCTGGCTATGTCTTTCTAGTTTCCTTTGCAAGTTTATGCTGCTCTAAGAAACCACTAAGTGTTGGAGTTCTTTAAGGCTAATCGTCATAGTATAAGGCTTTTATATTTTCTTGGCAATGTCATCCATTACCATGCCTCCAATTGTCATCTGAATTGCCAATCTCTTCAACATCTTTCTCTAGATGTGCCCTCTCTCTTTGCTTCACAATCATGTGTCCAGCTGCCAATGTGGCTTTTCCAGCTGGACTTGTGAAACACAACAAAGTCAAGACTGATCTCAGGCTATCCCTTGAAAACCTGTACTTCTCAGCGAATTACCCTAGAACTCTCTAGTAGGGCTGGACTCAATAGTGACATACCGTCTCTCATCCCCTTTAGTGAGTGCCGTTAATGCAGCAACATTGCTTTCTCAATACCTGTTGTCTTTACTGATAGAACAAGAAGATGAACAAATCAAAAGCACATAGATCTAAACAACACAGCCAAACACCTTTCACTAAATGGCATATATAGAACCCAGCAACTGCAGAATTAACCATGTGCTGGGCCACAAAGGGAGCCTCTAATTTCAGAGGACTGAAAACATACTGATTTGCTTTCTGACTTAATCCTCAGCAATTAGGCTAGAAGTCAGTTACACAAACATAACTAGACAATCCCCATATAGAAATTAAGCACTATATTTCTAAAATCCAATATGTCATAGAATAAGATAGAAATCAGGAAATATATAGGAGCCAGAGAGTCACCATGAAGTTCAATCGCTTGGTGACCTGGGACCACAGCAAAAACTGCAAACGTCACTTCAATGCCCCCTCGCAGGTATGCAGGAAGGTCATGTCGTCCCTGCTCTCCAAAGAGCTGAGCAGAAATACAATGTCTGCTCCATGCCCATCTGCAAGGACCACGAGGTCCAGGTGGTTTGAGGACACTACAGAGGTTAACAAATTGGCAAGTAGTCAAGTTGTACAGAAAGAAAGTCAAGGTGTATCCATCATTTCCCAATGCATGCACACCCACACACACTTCCTTGTGTCCCTTATTCAGAAAGAAATATGTCCTCTACATTGAGCAGGTGCAGTGTGAGAGGGCCAACGGCACCACCATCCCTGTGGGCCTTCACTTGAGCAAGGTGGCTCTCACCAGGCCAAAACTGGACAAGGATCAGAAAAAATTCTTGAATGCAAAGCCAAGTCTTGACAAGTTGGAAAAGAGACAGGCAAATATAAGGAAGAACTTATTGAGAAAATGCAGGAATGAATATAACTTGTTGTGCAACCATGGTTTAACTGGAGATTTTTGGCCTAGCATGTGTTTCTTTGGAGCTTATCAAAATGTCTCTGGAATATTTCATTTCCTATTTTGTTACCACTGGTTCAGTGAATCTACTTTTGGAATTTTGATTAATAATTTTATGAGTGAAAATGGGAAATGCTCTAAAAAAAAAGAAATCAGGAAATATACTGAACTGAATGGTAATGAAAATGTGACATATTACAACTTGTGGAATGCAACTAATTCAGTGCTTAGAGGGAAATTTATAACATCAAATGCATAAACAAGCAAAAGGTATGGTCTGAAAATCAATATCTAATTTTCAATGTCAATAGTTTAGAAAAAGAATAGTAAATGAAACCCAAAGGGTATAGGTGTAGCAAAAAGGAAATAGTCAAAAACCAAAATTAATAAATAAAATCAACAGAGGAAAAATTAATTTTAGAAGGTATTAATAAACTTGCAGGATTGTTCAGAAAAAAAGCATATTACCAATATGAGCAATAAAAAGGGTTATTTTTAAACTAAACATGATATAGAAATGAAAAGCATAGGATATTATGAATAACTCTAGTCCAATAAGCTAAATACTTTAACATGGACAAACTCCCCCCTCCCCACAACAGCAAACATAACAAAACTGACAAAAGAGGAAGTAGAAATTATGAATGAATTGATGTCTATTAAATAATTTAAATTTATTATTAAAAATCTTCACATATATACACATGCATGCCAGAGAGCTTTACTGATGCATCCTTTTAAAAAATGCCACCAATTTTACACAAACTTTCTAAGAAAATGGTAAAGGAAGTCATGCTTTCCAACTCTATGGTTTCTACCAAAACATCACAGGAATAGAAAATTATGACTACACTCTTTCATGAACATAGGTGTAAAAATCCTAAGACACTTAGCAAGTAGAACTTAGTCTGATATATAAAAGTGTTATCCCAGTGGAATTTATTTCAGCAGTGAAAGGATGAGTAAATACTTGCAGATCAGTATAGTTTCTCACATTAACAGAAAAGGAGGAAATCATATGATCGCTTTGAAGGTTGCAGAAGAAGCAATTACAGTGAATGCTACTTACAATAGAAATTTTTATCAAACTAGAAATAGAAGAGAATTTTCTTAACTTGATGAGTATTTATCTTAGAAAGTCTACAGAAAACATAATTAAATGATGAAATTTTTAAGATTCTTTTGAGAGTGTTTACAACTGAAGGGTGCCCCTTATCATTTCTATTAAATAACAGAATAAACAAGTCATAAGGATTAGGAAAAAATATAAAACTAGTATTAGTCACAGGTGATCAGGTTGTACAGATACAAAATCTGAAAATAGTTACCAAAAATGTGTTAGAAGGAATAACAGAAATCATCAAGATCAGTATTTACAGGTAAATTTTACTTTTATATGCTAGTAATAAAGAAAAATTAAAAATGTCTATACTGAAAATTTCAAAAGATAATTGAGATAAATTTTAAAGTGAATTAAAGATTCTGTTTTCCATATCTTTACATTTTCTCCACTGTCTTTTTCTATTGCATCATCTATTTGTGCATCTGTAGACCACAAAATCAATTTCGTATTTATTGCAACTCACTGATAATCTTGATTATATCTTGCCTGTTCTGGACCCTTTACATTTCAGAAACATGGAACCTTTGTTAAATCTTAAATCAACTTAAATCAATTTAACCTTTCTTAAATCAACTTGTAAGAAAGATAAGAGCAGGTGATAATAAAATAGAAAAAACATAGATGAAAAAGATTGCCAAGATTTAGCAAACAAGAAATGATATTCTGTTTTATAAGCATTTTTTTTTTTTTTTTTTTGAGAGATGGAGTCTCGCTCTGTTTCCCAGGCTGGAGTGTAGTGGCGCGGATCTTGGCTCACTGCAACCTCTGCCTCCCTGGTTCAAGCAATTCTCCTGCCTCAGCCTCCTGAGTAGCTGGGACAGGCACTTGCCACCATGCCCAGCTAATTTTTGTATTTTTAGTAGAGATGGGATTTCACCGTGTTAGCCAGGATGGTCTTGATCTCCTGACCTTGTGATCCGCCCGCCTTGGCCTCCCAAAGTGCTGGGATTACAGGTGTGAGCCACCGTGCCTGGCCTTTATAAGTGTTTTTAAAGAAACAACTTTGGCTTCATTAATTCTTTGTATTCTATGCCAGAAAAAATAATACTAAAAATAATAGGGACATATTCATAAACAGGACAGAGATTAAAACAGCAATATAATGAAATTTTATGTTGGTATGTTTACAGTCCTAGATAAAAATCTATACTTTTCTAAAAAATATGGAACTTATTAAACTAATACAAGATGTAAAAAACCTAAATGAGTTTAAAACCAATGAAAAATTCAATTCAATCACCAGTTAAATAACTATTTTCAAGAAAACCTTTATGCACAGGCAATTTTATAGGTAAGTTCTAGCAATTAAGTAAGAAATTCCACTCTTACACTAAGTCTTTCTTTGCTGAAAGTAGTATAACACATGACTCAACCTAAACAAAGAACAAAGGAAAAATTACAGGTTGATATTACATGTAAACTAGTATGGACAAATAATAATATGTTCGTAATCTGAATTCAGCAATGGTATTTTTAAAATATTACAATGCAAATAAGAAATATTTGGTTATATCTCAGAATGAAAAAGATAGTTTAACATTAGAATATCAATGTAATTTACTACATTAACAGATAAAAGGAGAAAAGAAACATGATTACTTAAACAGATGCAGGAAAAAAATCTTTTGGCAAAATTCAGCACTTGTCCATCTTAAGAGCTGTTAGTAAACTAACCCAAAAAAAAAAAAAAAAGAGATATGTTCTTAGCCTAAAATGTCTTAAGGAATATTACGAGGATGGTTAATATCACAACTACTGTTACGTATTGAGTTGGAAGCCCAAAAAAAAAAAAAAAAAAATTAAGTGACTTGAAAAAGATGACACAAAACTGTCCTCATTTGAAAATAATTTGCTTGTCTACATAGAAAATCATAGATAATTAGAGTTTACAGACACATTATTGGAGTGAAAAATGATTTCAAGAAGATGGTTGGAATTAGAATCCACATATAAAAGTCAATTGCTTTTCTACATACTATCAGCTCATGAGGAAATTATAATACAATACTAATAACTACAAAATTATGAGATACCTAGGAATTAATTTATCAAAATATGGGCAAGATGCCTAGTAGGAAAATTTAAAAATATAACTAACTGCTCATTGAAGACTGAAGTTATATAGATACCATTGATCTAGTGATCATGCTTTTTAATATTTACCCAAATGAGTTGAAAACTTAGGTCCACACGAAATCCTGCACATGGATGTTTCTAGCAGCTTTATTTATAATTGTCAGAAAGTGGAAGCAGCCCAGAGGTTCTTCAGTAGTCAAATGGATAAACTATGGCACATCTAGACAATAGAATATTATTCAGAGATAAAAAGAAATGTTATCAAGCTATGAAAAGGCATGGAGGAACCTTAAATACATATTCATGAGTGAAGTAAGTTAGTCTGAAAAGGCTATGTAATATGTGATTCCAGCTCTTTGACATTCTGGGAAGGACAGAACTATAGAGACTATAATGCAATCACTGGCTACCAGAGGTTCAGGGGGAGGTAAGAGAGGGATGAATGGACAAAGCAGGGGATTTTTTATGACGTACAGAAACTACTCTGTATAATACTGTAAGGGTAAATACAGGACATTATATGTTTGTCAAAGCCCATAGAACTGTACAACACAAAAAGCCAACCTTAATTTACACTATAGATTTAGTTGTTAATCATGTGTAAATATTGGTTCAACAATTGTATTATAACAAATGTATCACACTAATACAAGATGTAAATAAAAGCGAAGAAATGTATGTTAAAAAGGATGGACAGAGGTAGTATATAGCAGAGGAAATCTCTATACTTTCTACACGATGTCTTTGTAAATCTAAAACTGCTCTAAACATAGTTCATTACAAAAAAAGATATAAAAAGTATATTCATGGCTTGGGAGATGAAAATATCATGAAGCTGTCAAATGCCCTAATATTAATTTGTAAATTAATTGCCAATCAGAATGTCTTCTGCTTTTATTCGGAGGTACAGATACCCAGACAAATGGATTCTAAAATTTGAATAGAAGAGCAAAGAAAATAGGAACCAATTTGAAGGACTACAAGGTGGACTGCTTGCTCAGCTCAGTATCAACACTTATGGTAAACCTATAGCAATTAATTATTATACGGTATTGACACAGGTATAGATAACCAGGTATAGTCCTCACCTATGGAAACTCTGTACCTGATAGGGATGGCATAGCAAATCATTAAGGGCTGGGGTTGGTCTTTGCAGTAAAGGGTGCTTTACAATTAGATTATCCAAATGGATAAACAAAGAAATATCACCCCCATCTAAAACCATTAACAATTCAGGATAGAGTAAATGACTGGTTGTGAAACTTTAGAGCTTTCCTAGAAAAACATATGATAATATATTTATGACCTTGAGGATTTGATTTGATTTGATTTTTATTTTTCAACTGTTATTTTAGTTTCAGGGAGGTACATGTACAGATTTGTTCCATGAGTAAATTGCATGTCACTGGGGTTTGATGTACTAATGGTTTCAGGCAGTGAGCGTAGTACCTAACAGGTAGTTTTTTTTGAAAATCCCTCTCTCCCTCTACCCTCAAGTAGGCCGTGGTGTCTGTCATTCCCTTCCTTGTGTCTATATGTACTCAGTGTTTAGCTCCTATTTATAAGGGAGAACACGTAGTATTTGGTTTCCTGTTCCTTTATTAATTCACTTAGGATAATGGCCTACAGCTCCCTCCACTATTATTGAATAGGGAGTCCTTTCTCCATTGCTTGTTATTGTCGAAGTTTGTTGAAGATCAGCAGGGTTATATAACCTGTTCCATTGGTCTGTGTGTCTGTTTTTGTACCAATACCATCCTGTTACAGTTGCTATAGCCTTGCAGTATAGTTTGAAGTTGAGTGGTGTGATACCTCTGGCTTTGTTCTTTTTGCTTAGAATTGCTTTGGTTATTTGGTCTCTTTTTTGGTTTCATAGGAATTTTAGAATAGTTTTTTTTCTAAATCTGTGAAAAATGAGTGGTAGTTAATAGGAATAGCATTGAATCTGTAAATTGCTTTGGGCAGTGTGATCATTTTTAACAATAGTGATTCCTCCAATTCAAGAGCATGGAATGCTTTTCCATTTGTTTGTGTCATCTCTGACTTCTTTTAGCAGTGTTTTGTAATTCTTGTTGTAGACATCTTTCACCTCCCTGGTTAGTTCATTCCTAGGTATTTTCTTCTTTTTGTGGTTATTGTGAATGGGATTGTGTTCTTGATTTGGCACTCAACTTATACATTACTGATTTATAGAAATGTTACTGATTTTTTTTTTACTTGATTTTGTATCCTGAAAATTTACTTGTTTATCAATTCTAGGAGGCTTTGAGCAGGGACTATGGGGTTTTCTAGGTAAAGAATTGTATAGTCTTTGAAGAGAGATAGTTTGACTTCCTCTCTTCCTATTTGGATGCCTTTTATTTCTTTCTCTTGCTTTATTGTTATGACTAGGACTTCCAGTACTATGCTGAATAGGAGTGGTGAGAGTGGGCATCTTTGCCTTGTTCTGGTTCTCAAGGAGAATGCTTCCAGGTTTTGCCTGTTCACTATGATGCTGGCTGTGGGTTTGCTGCTCTCTTTTTATTTATTATGTTCCTTTGATGCCTAGTTTGTTGAGGGTTTTTAACATGAAGGATTTTGGATTTTATCAAAAGCCTTTTCTGCATCTATTCAGATAATCATGTGGTTTTTGCTTTTAGTTCTATTTATGCGATGAATCACATTTATTGATTTGCATACTTTGAACCAAGCTTGCATCCCAGAAATAGTACTATATCATGGTGGCTTAGCTTTTTGATGTGCTGCTGGATTCAGTTTGCTTGTATTTTGCTGGGAATTTTTACACCCGTGTTCTTGACCTGAAGCTTTTGTTGTTGTTGTGTCTGTGCCAGGTATTGATATCAGAATGATGCTAGCCTCACAGAATGAGTTAGGGAGGAATCACTCCTCCTTGATTTTTTAAAAATAATTTCAATAGGATTGGTACCAGCCCTTCCTTATGCATCTGGTAGTATTTGGCTGTAAGTTTTTCTATTCCAGGGCTTTTCCTTTTTCGTAGGTTTTTAAATTTTTTTTATTTTTTATTAGTGATTCAATTTCAGAACTCACTGTTGGTCAGATCAGAATTTCAATTTCTTCTTGGTTCAATCTTGGGAGGCTGTATGTTTCCATTTATCCATTTCTTATATGTTTTCTAGTTTGTGTGCATAAAGGCATCCATTAGTCTCGAGGGTTTTTTTTTTTTTTAATTTCTGTGGGGTCGTGGGTAACGTCTGCTTTGTTGTTTCTGATTGTGTTGATTTGGATCTTCTCTTTTTTTTTTCTTCATTAGTCTCACTACCAATCTTATTCTTTCAAATAACAACTTTTGGTTTCATTGACCTTTTGTATGGGTTTTTGTGTCTCAATTTGATTCAGTTCAACTCCAACTTTTGTTATTTTTCTTCTGCTAACATTGGGTTTGATTTGCTCATTTTTCCAGTTCCTCTAAGTGTGATGTTAGATTGTTAATTTGAGATC
Source organism: Homo sapiens (assembly GCF_000001405.40). NCBI lineage: Eukaryota > Metazoa > Chordata > Mammalia > Primates > Hominidae > Homo > Homo sapiens. The sequence goes on from NC_000015.10 coordinate 94,280,703, forward strand.
TTTCTAACTTCTTGATGTAGGCATTTAGCATTACACACTTTCATCTTAAACTCCAACTGTGTCCCAGAGATTCTGATATGTTGTGTCTTGGTTTTCATTAGTTTCAAAGAATTTCTTGATTTCTGCCTTAATTTCATTATTTACCCAAAAATCATTTAAGAGCAGGTTGTTTAATTTCCATGTTATTGTGTGGTTTTGAGAGGTCTTTTTTGTTTTCGTTTTTGTTTTTATTGAGAGTGTGGTTAGTATATATTTTTTAACTTGTTGAGAATTGCTTTATGGCCAAACATATGATGGATCTTAGGGTATGTGCCACATGCAGATGAGAATGTATATTCTGTTACTGTTGGTTGGAGTATTCTGTAGAAGTCTGTTAGGTCCATTTGGTCAAGTGTTGAGTTTAGGTCTCAAATATCTTTCTTAGTTTGGAATACTAACAAAGTTTGACCTAACAGTGTCAGTGGTTTGAAGTCTCCCCCTAGTATTGTGTGGATATCTAATTCTAGGCCTTTACAAGCTTGTTTTATGAATCTGGCTGCTCCAGTGTTGGGTACATATAAATTTAGGATAGTTGATTCTTCTTGTTGAATTGAACTCTTTATCATTATGGAATGTCCTTCTTTGTCCTTCTTGATTATTGTTAGTGCACTCTGTTTTGTCTGGAAAAAAATAGGAACCCCTGCTTCTTTTGTTTTCTATTTGCTTAATAGATCTTTCTCAATCCCTTTACTTTGAAGCTATAGATGTTGTGGCAGTTGAGATGGGTCTCTTGAAGACAACATGCAGTTGGGTCTTTCTTCTTTATCCAACTTGCCACTCTGGGTCTTTTAAGTGGGGTATTTAGCTTATTTACATTCAAGGTTAATATTGATATATACAGGTTTGATCTTGTTGTTGTGATGTTCACTGTTTGTTATATAGTCTTGACTGTGCAGTTGTTTTATAGTGTCAGTGTGCTATGTACTTCAGTATATTTTTTTGATGGCCAGTAACAGTCTTTCATTTCCATGTTTAGCATTCCCATAAGGACCTCTTATAAGGCTGGTCTAGTGGTAACATATTCCCCTAGCATTTCTTGTCTGAAAAGGATTTTATATCTCCTTCAGTTTTGAAGCTTAGTTTGGCTGGATATGACATTCTTGGTTGGAATTATTTTTTTTTCATATACTGAATATAGGCCCGCAATTATTTCTACTGAAAGGCCCATCTTTGCCTGATGGGATTCCCTTTGTATATGACCTGCCCCTTCTCTCTAGCTGCCTTTAAGAATTTTTCTTTTGCAATGATTTCAAAGAATCTGAAGACTCTATACCTTGGTGAAAGTCATCTTGTATAGTATCTTGCAGGGGTTCTATGAATTTCCTGAGTTTGCAGGTTGACCTCTTTAGTGAGGTCTGGGAATTTTCATGGATAATATTCTTATATCCTCAAATATGTTTTCCCAGTTGCTTTCTAACTCTGTGTCTTTCAGGAATGCCAGTGAGTGATAGGTGTAGTCTTCTACATAATCCCATATTTCTTTGAGGTTTTGTTTATTTTTTAAAATTCTCTTTTCTTTATCTTTGTCTGCCTGCGTTGATTCAAATAAGTTGTTTTTGAATTCTGAGATTCTTTTCTCAGCTTTCTCTCTTCTGTTAGTAATGCTTCCAATTGCAATCCAATTTCTGTCATGAGTGATTCATTTCCAGAAGTTCAGTTGATTCTTTTGTAAAATGATTATGACATCTTTCAGCTCCTGGGCCGTTTTACTGTTTTCCTTGGATTGAATTTCAGCCTTCTCCTATATCTTGACGAGTGAGCTTCCTTGCTGTCTGGATTCTGAATTCTATGTCTGTCATTTCAGCCATTTTAGTCTGGTTAAGCATCATTGCTGGAGAGCTAGTGTGGTCATTTGGAGGTCAGAAGATACTCTGGCTTTTAGAGTTGCCAGAGATCTTGCACTAGTTCTTTCTCATCTGTATGGGCTGATGTTCCTTTAATCTTTTAAGTCACTGTCTTTTTGATGGGGCTTTTTGCTTTTATACTCTTTGATCCCCTTGAGGGTTTGACTGTAGTGCAAATTAGGTTTAGCCAACTGGCTTCATTTTTGGATGCTTTCAGGGAGGCAAGGCTCAGTTTAGCACTCCTGGCCTGCATGCCCTTATCATTGGGGGCTGGAAACAGGCCAGCAGCTTGGTTCTCTGGCCCCTCAAGGTTAAGCACCTGCTGTGCTGGAGGAGCTGAAGTGTTCACAGTCCCCTAGCAGCAACACTCTGATGGGGGCTGCCAATAAAAGTGATCCAGTGGGGCGGTGGTGTGTCGTTATATGTGTGTGCACTGGTGAGGCAGTGGGAGGAGGCTGTGGGTGGGTGCACCAGGCAGAAGAAGGCTGTGGGTGGGTGCACACCGGCAGAGGTCTTTCTGCAAAAGTACTCTGACAGGTAGGTGGGGTCTGCTGTTGAAAAACCTATGGCAGTGGCTGCTTGTAAATGCTTTGGCTGGGCAGCTGAGGCTGCGCTGTAAGTTGTGTGGCCAGGCAGGGACCCTGGGAGAGGCCAGCAGACAGGTGGAACACTCAGATCAGATTGTTCCTGTCCCATAGCAAGACATCCTTGCTCTGTCGGGGTCCAGCAGCTAACAAAGGCTAATGCTGCCTAGAGGAGTATGCCAAGCCTTGGGGGGTGGGCTTTCATGGCCATGCTCCATGGCAGATAGTCCCATGCCAACCCCCCTTGGCTTTGCACAGGCTGGAGTTCTGTCTCTGCTAACTATCTGGGAAGATCTCCCTGCCACCTTAAATATCTGGGGGGGTTGTGGGATATCCTGCAGCTGGGATCTCAAAGGTCTATGGTGAAAGTGGACCACTCCATGCCTATTTCATTCACCCCTTTCCTAGGAGCTGTTTGGGGCCAGGAATGAGTCTTACTGCTTGGCAACCCCATGTAGAGTTCCCAGCTTCTTACCTTTCAGCCTGGGGTCTACATCCTCCCTCTGTCCCCTCTCAATACCTTCTTTCTGAAGATCTGTTCAGAATATGCCAGTCTAATTGATAGTCTTGTCTCTCTTAGTGGCAGAAGCTATTCCTGGCTGCATTTAGTTGGCCATCTTGGCTGGTCCCCACCTTGAGTATTTTAAAACCATATGCATTGCACATATTCCAACCCCAAAACACAATACATTAAAAAATTGATACATTGAACTCACCAAATTTTCTTTTTAAATGACTCTTGGCACCATATAAAGTTTTTTAAAAAGCTACTTATTAGATCCCCTTTCGTCATTTCAGATTGGCAAATATATAGCTTGCAATTATAGGTGCAGGCAAGGATGTTGCACAATGGGAACTCATTAACTGCATCAGGAATATAAATTAATATACCTACTTTGGAGAATAGTTTGGCAATACCTAGCTAGTCAAGTTTAAAATATATGCGACCTACAAACCAATAATTCTACTCTGAGGTATGGTGTTTCTCAATGGGACCTTATTGGTAATTTGGACAGGATAAGTCTCTCTTGTGGAATATTTTGTATATCCCTAATTTGCACACACTATGAGTTATGTTCCCTACCATGGCCATTTTAACAACCAAATATTCTTCACCCATTACTAATCACTTCTAACTGGAAGTTTATACTTGGCTGAAAAACAGAGAGAGAAACTGACGTGTACATCAGAAGACAAGTCTAAGTATCTTCTTTAAATCCTTTTGTAGTGGTATAATAGAGTTAAGCATCTTAAGTAACCATCTGTGGAACATTAATCAATATATTATAGATCTTTCCATAATGCAATCCTATACAACTCTTAAAATGGCTTTAATGAAGCTACATTTATCATTGTGGGTAAAATTCGTGAAGGTAATGCTGATTGAAAAGCATGTAGTCATGTACGACTTATGTAAAGTTTATTAAAAATATGTTTATATATCCCTAAATAATATATAATAGAATATGTGGATGAAATAAATTCAGTTTTAGGACAGTGGTTTCGTCTGCTAGGGAATGGTGGGAAAGTCTTCACAGAGATGTTCATAGGCAGTGTGATTGCACAGAAGTGCATATGAGAATGCATAGCCAGTGCTAAGAATCTTTGGAGCTTATTGGCCCAGGGATCTGAAAATGATTATGGGCTGAGGTATATGAAAAATAGCAGGGTTAGAACACTAAAAGGCCTTTACAACTATTTAGGATAAAAAAGTTTTTAAAAAGATTAGGTAAGATCTCAGTTAAGGCAGGTAGTATAGTGTTGAAGCCCACTTTGTATTTTTGTTGAAATTTTAAAATTTTGATTAATATTTCAGGGTTCAGGTCTCTAAGACCACTCTCAGCTTTGGTAATTCTCTAGGAGGACTCAACCTTTCCTCCTACAGCTATGATTTACCACAGGAATAGCAGGGAAAAAATAATAGTGGCAAAGAGAAAAGTGGATGAGAAAATCTGGAAGAACCCAGGCATAAACTTCCAAGAGTTCTCTCTCTGTGGAGTCACACAGGACATGTTTAATTCCTGCATCAGTGAGTTTGACAACATGTGTGAAATGTTTTCCACCAGGGAAGTTCCTTAGGGAGCTTTTTATTGGGAGCTGGTCACAAAGGCACCTCTACCTAACATGTGCTCAAATTCTAGACTCTCAGAAGGAAGGCAGATAATTAGTATAAACCAAGTTGTTTGCATACAGTTTGTGCATAGTGACCCACTCTTATCACTTAGCGTGGTGGGGAATCTCCCAAAATCCAAGTTACTGATGCCAGGTAAGGGCCAACCTTGCAGGCAGACCTTTAAAAACATAGCAACCTCAGACTAGCTAATTATGCTTTGCTTCACAATTTATTTTTTTTTGTTGAATGGTACATTAACTTCGTTAGGGTTCACTTAAAAGTCACTTACACATTTTATTGAATTCATTCTGGTCATTTCAGGGCAAGATAGTAACTGTAAATATCTCATCAGAGATTGGAATTAAAGTGGATGTGTAAGTGTCTGAATGTTTCCGAAACCCTAGCTCCTTCCTCCCTTTCCTTTTCTCCAAACTTCTCCAAGCACACTATATGAATTTGGAATGACTGAAAAAGAGGTAAGCAGTTCTAGGGTCTTTTCAAATGACTGAGATTTCTAGGGGTCATACCCTGTCCCACTTCTAGTCATTAACCAGAGAAGATAGGATCTTACTTCTCTATTAATGCATTATGTTTCCTTCCAAGAACATGGATGGTGGGGCTGAAAATTTCATCCGGTTCTTTTAGTTGATCTTAATTTTGAAGGGGTTTCTGTCCACGTGGTATAATTTTAAATAGTATGTCTAGTATATGAAATGATTCTCCACCTGTAATTAGATTACACATTTAGTAAAAAGTTGAAATGGTAGATAGGGAATCTGTGTTTTGGAAGAAAAGAGCCAAATTTATCTTAAAAGCAGGGAAATGGTTTGTTTATCCTCTGGAAATGATCTAGAGAGAGCTTTTTATGAAGGATAATCTCCTTTAGAAAAGAGGAGAGATTTGTTTTTGCCGCAAGCATAATTAAATGCACCAAGGTATATAAATTCTTTTCCCAGTTCTATTAAAGTGCAGAATAATCTGTCTATATAATTACATTTGCCTTTATCTTTATCATAAGGTAGGCATACACCATCAGATTTTTTACTATTATTGACCCTATTTTTGTTATTCTTTTTCCCTCATGTTAAAATGACGTGATATGAAATTTCCTTTCGACTGGTAAGAAAAACAAATCTTGATGGTTAATTAAAAAAATATCCAGTAATGACACATTCTGACTAGTGACTGCTTGCTAGTCTGTTATTTGGATTGATACTAGATTGTGAAAGCCAGACCTTTTTGTCCCATTTATATTAAAAAAGAAGTTTGAGAAACAATCCGAGTCAGTGTTACTGAATAGCTCTAAAATGCTCTGTAAAATTATGCTGTTCCATTCTGAGAACCTCTTTCCTACCTTGCGGTTCTTATTCAGGTAACATTGCAGTATGAGCTCAATCAGAGATTTGGGGGCTGGTATTAAAAAGGTTTGTTTTCTTTTTCTGCTTGGCCAGTTGCTAGAGGCCAGCTGGGGAGGATGTCTGGCTTAAAACCATAATAAATGAAGCTTCCATTAGGCTCCTCGGCTTGGGGCCATTTCCTGTAAAGACCTTGCTCTGCCGTTAGTGGTTTGGAGAGGGAAAATGCATATTTTTGTTCAATAAATGAAAGCTGAAGATTACCAGGTAGGGTAGCATAGGTATCATGTTTTGTGAAGAGATCCTGCTCTTCAAGGGTCACATTTTAGCTTATAGCCTTTTGAGTGTTTATGACAATAACCTATGAACTTGAGTCATGGTAGAAAATGGAACAAATATGTTTATTTTTAAATATCCTTCGAGAGGAAGCAAACAATATAATATTCAGATAGTTGAATTTGTCTCAGCAGCCTTTCCAAACCTGACTCTTAGATTTATTATTTCTTTAAGTTTTGCTTTGTCTGGAAAATACATTGTTCATTGGAGAAGTAACATTTTCAGGCACAAAAGAGACCAAGCGTACATTACGTACTTTAAGAGCACTTTTTTTTTTTCTGGACACATCTTTTTATGTTTATATGTTTGTAATTCTTTATACATGGTTGTTTATTTTGTTGTTTTATTCTGTATTTTATGCTGTTGTTGCTTATTCTGGAAAATATATTGTTCTGGGAAATACGCTGTTTATTGGAGAAGTGACATTTTCAGGTACAAAAGAGTCCAGGGGTGTATTAGCTTTATACACCTTAAGGATCCTTATTTTCTCTGGGCATATCTTTTTGTGTTTATATGTTTATAATTTTCTGCACGTGGTTGTGTACTACTCACATACTTGGAGAAACTATGGTCAGCGTGCTTTGCAAAACTTAAATGAGTTCCGGTTCTGAATAAGTTAGAATAAAAACACTTCAACGTTTCTCTTCCACTGAACACAAATATGAAATATATGGTAAAGCTAGTTGAAGTCTCAGAAAAGTAAAGCTACAGCTTCGACAAACAGGAAAGCCATTCTCCTCATTCATCAGATTGGCTCCTGCAGTTTCCCAGTGCCAACTGCTGACTGTCTCTATCCATAGATCCCCTGGAGCTGGGTCATGACAAAACTGGACCAATTATCCAGCGTGAATTTAATGCAGTCCCAGATCCAGATGTTAGCAGTGGATCTCAGAAGGAAAGAGAAAGAGATGACCTCTAGCTGTGGCCCAAGGAGAAAAGGGAAGTCCTGAAGCTAAGAGGGAGGGGGAAATCCCCTACCTTGTGTGCCTCCTTTATCTCACTTTTGTCATGCCCCGGCTCCCCAACAGTCTTGTGGTGGAGGCAGTGGCAGCAAAAGCAGCTGGTGGTAGGAAACTGCAGAAGCAAAAATAATGGGTTAGGGAGGGGCATATGCTTTCTATTCGGTAAAATAGAGCTATTTGGTAGCTCTTAGTGGTGCCAATTGGGTTTTTTAATTTGTTTTGTTTTTTAAATCTCTCTGTGTCTTCCCCACAACCCTGGTATGATCATAGATGTAGGTTGTTCCCGATTGTTGAATGAAAAAGGGTGAGTTCTAGGATGCCAGAAAGTATCACAGGAGACAGCTGAGAAGGAAGGGCTTGGGAAATGATCAAATACATTGTGGACTCATGGACTCATCCATAGCCTGAACATACATGGATCTGATCCTTATTAGCGTACCAATGACTTTGAGAATGGAGTTAATGGGTGGAACTCCACTCAAGTCCCAGACTGACCTTACGTCCTATACAAGCAGGGCATATCTAAATGAACCTGCATAGCTATTGAAAACTAAACTGATAATTGGAACCATAGCCAACAGAAGGTGGGCTGCAATTTATGGCTAGAAGCTAACCAGATCAAGTGCTTCCTAAAACAATGATATCAGCATCTTTGTAGACTTAAATAAAGCAGAGAGTTTTATAACATTCAAAATGTCCAAGGTATAATTTATATTGGTTTATGAAGAAATGTAAAAATGTTAACTCACATGGGAAAAGGCAATTAACAGATGAAAATGAAAATATGACTTTAAAGGAGCTATTGTAGAATGCTCAAATGAATAATCATGAGTCTTGAAATAAAAGATAGAAACTATAAGCGAGGAAAGATGTGAAGTGGCACCAATGGAAACCAGAACTGAAAAATACAATAGCTGCCTGCCCCACCCATTCTCCACCCATAAAAAACAAACCTCACTATATGGATTCAATAGCAGACTGGGGATGACAGAGGAAAGAGTCAGTAAAACTGAAGATAAATCAATAAAGGTTATCCAATCTGAAGAAAGAAGAAGATTGAAAAATAATAGAGTCTCCGGGATTATAGAACAATCACAAAAGGCTAATATTTGTATCACTGGAGTGCCAGAAGGAAAGGAGAAAGTGAGTAAGCCTCAACAAGTATTCAAAGAAATGATGGCTGAAACATTGATAGATTCAAGAAGCTAAGCTAACCCCAAATAGGATGAATCCAAATAAACACACACCCAGGCACATCATAAACTGCTAAAAACTTAAAAAAATATTGAAGTCAGTCAGAGCAATGATAACTGATATATGGAAGAACAATGATTCAAATGGCTGAGATTTCTCATCAGAAATCATGGAGGCCAGGAGAAAATGGCACATCCGTTTTTCAAGTGTTGAAAGAAAAGTATAGAATTCAATATCTAGCTAAAATATCCTTCAGAAATGAAGGTGAAAAATATATTCTCAGATTGGGAAAAACTAAGAGAATTTGGAGGCAGCAGACCTGACACAAAATAACAAGAAGGCCTTCTTAAACAGATGAGAAATGGTACAAGAAGGAAATATGGAATATCAAAATCAAGGAAATGCAAGTGAAAAATACAATAGCCTTTCTATTTTAATTGAATAGACTATCTTAAAATTTAATAGACCATTTATTTTCTCTTGAAATTAAGTATGGCTTATGGTTGAAATCAAAAGTTAAACATGGTCTGATACAAATTTTCACTGTATTTAGATGTAATATATAAGACAACTTATGTATTATTATATTATGGGAGAAGAGACCTATACGCTGGTATGGTAGACAGGATAATCTCCCTTCCCTAACCCCAGATACCCACATCCTTATCCCAGGATCCTGTGAATATGTTACATTATGTGGCACAAAGGACTTGTAGATGGGATCTAACAGACTTTAAGATAGAATAACCTTTGTTTTCCTGGTGGGCCCAATCAAGTAACATGAGCCCTTAAAAGTGGAAGAGGAAAACAAAATAGTGGGATGCATCAATGAGAGAGACTTAACTCACTGTTTCTGGCTTTGAAGATGGAGAAAGGGGTCAGGGAATGTGGGCGGCCTCTAAAAGCTAAGATCAGTCCTTAGCTGACTGATCAGCTAAACATGGCTGTTGATGAAAATTTTAAAAAATGGAATTTTGCTAAGGCTGAGAAAGATAAAGAAATGGATTCTCAACTAGAGCCTCCAAAAAAAAAAAATGCATTCTTGTCAGCGCTTTGATTTCAGCCTGACAAGACCCATCTCAGACTTTCTCAGAACTGAAAAGTAATAAATTTATCTTTTTAAGCCACTAATTTTTTCATTATTTGTTATGGGAGCAATACAAAACAAATGCAGGTGATCTGGTTTCTCTGTTCCAATTGAAGTGGTAAAATATTAATTCTAAATAAAATGTGGAAAGTTAACTATACATACCGTAACCCCTAGAATAATCACTGAAAGTTTATACAGAGATATAGTCAAAATCATAACTGATAAATTAAAATGGAACACTATAACCTCAACAAATGAAGAAGGGCGGGAACAGAAAAAATGAAAAACAGAACAAGAAGGAAATGATAAAATGGCAGACCTAAATCCAGACCTATCAAGTACTATGTTAAATATAAATGGTCTAAACAAACCAACTAAAAGCTAGAGATTGTCAGACTGGATTTAAAAAAATGTCCTAGCTATGGGCTTTCCATAAGAAACTCACTTCAAATATATTGTTATTGTAAGCTGAAAAGCAGAAAGGATGGAGGGAAATAAAACCCACACAAACACAAACCAAAAGTAAATTAGCATGGCTATGTTAAAATCAAACAAGATAGGCTTCAGAGCTAGAAAATCATCAGGGTTAAAGACAGACATTACATATTGATTGAAGGGTTAGTTCGGGAAGAAGCTATAACAATCATAAATGTGTGTGCAATAACAGAGCTTCAAAATACAGAAGCAAAAACTGATGTAACTGAAAGGAGAAGTAGAGAAATTCACAACTATAGTTGAAAAATTACTCCTGTCTCAGTAATAGAAGATCAGCAAGGACATAGAAGAACTGAACTATCAACCAACTGAATCTAATGGACATTTATACAATACTCCACTCAACCATAGTAGCATATACAGTCTTTTCAAATGCATATGGGACATTTACCAAGACAGTCCACATTGGGGGTCATAAGTCAAACCTTAACAAATTTAAAAGAAAGTCATAAAGAGAATGACTTCTGGTCATAACTGAGTTAAACTGGAAATTAATAAAAAGATAGATAGAAAAATCTTCAGATACTTAGAAATTACCAATATACTTTTGAATAAACCATGACCTAAAGAGAAAGTTTCAAGAAAAATAAAAAATAATGAAAGTGAGGCCGGGTGTGGTGGCTCACACCTGTAATCCCAGTGCTTTGGGAGGCCGAGGTGGGTGGATCACTTGAGGTCAGGAGTTCAAGACCAGCCTGACCAACATGATGAAACCCTGTCTCTGCTAAAAATACAAAATTGCCGAGAGTGGTGGCATATGCCTGTAATCCCAGCTATCTGGGAGGCTGTGGCAGGAGAATTGCTTGAACCGGGGAGGTGGAGGTTGCAGTGAGCTGAGATCGTGCCACTGCACTCCAGCCTGGGCTACAAGAGCGAAACTCTGTCTCAAAAAAGAAAAAAAAAAAAGTGAAAATAAAACATAATTTTACATAAGACATGACCCAAAGAGGAAGTTTCAAGATAAATTAGAAAATATTTTAAACAGGAAAAAAATGAAAATGACATTTCACATCTTGTGGCATGCAGCTAATATGTAGCCTTAAACCTTATTTTTAAAATGAAGAAAATGCTCAAAGCCATAATCTAGGCCAGTGGTTGGCAAACTTTCTCTCTATGTTTGGACAGTAAATATTTTAGGCTTTCTGGGCCATATGGTATCTGCCACAACTATTAAACTCTACCATTGGGCAAAAGCAGTCATCGCCAATATGTAAACACATTAGTGTGGCTACATTCAATGAAACTTTATGTATAAAAACAGGTAGTTGTATTGATTTGGCCTGTAGATTACCACCCTCTGATTTAGCCACCACCTTAAGAAAATAAAAAAAGTAAGACCAAATTAAACCTAAATCAAGAAGAGAGAAATAAATCATAAAGACAAGAGTAGAAATGTATGATACTGAAATAGTAAAACAATGAAAATTAAAAACCCAAATCTGGTTCTTTGAAAAATAATCCATAAAATTGATAAACCTCTAGCACTATACTTACTGGAGAAAGATTGGATGCTTTCTAAGACTGAGGGGGAAAAAAAAGAATATGCATTCTCACTAATACTATTCACTATCTTATTTGAAGTCTTAGTCCAATAAGGCAAGAAAAAGAAAAGGCATAGCATATGGAGAGGAAGAAATAAAAATACCCAACGTGATTTTCTATGAAGAAGACCTAAAGGAATATAATAAAAGCAATACGTAAATGTAGGAAGTTACAGGATACAAAGCCAATATAAAAAAATTCAATTGTATATGTTTATGCTGAAAATACACAATTGGAAACAAAAATGAAAAGCCATTTACAATAGCTTCAACAAAAATGAAATACAAATCAACCTAATAAAACATGTACTGGGTATGTGAGCTAAAACTGGAGAATGCTGATGAAAGAAATGAAGGAAGACCTAGATAAATGAAGAGACCTGCCATGTGCTTGTATTGGAGACTAAACATAGTAAATATGTCAGCACTCTCCAAACTGCTCTATTTATTGAAAACAATACCAATCAAAATGTTGCAGTATCTTTTTAATCGAGAGTAACTCATTCTAAAATTTATATAGAAATACAAAAATCTGGAATAGCTAAACAAATTTGGAGAGGTCACACTACCCAATTAAAAGACTATCATCCTTCAGCAATCAAAATGGTATTGGAATAGTTACATAGATCAATGGAAAGGAATAATGAGTCAAGGTTATCTACTACACAGATGTAGCAGAGATTTTTGATGAAAGTACAAGAGCAATTCAGTGGAGATATTACAGTCTTTTAAAACAATGACATTGGAAAAAATTATTCACATGTAAAAAATGAACCTTAAACTAAATATAACACTATACAAAAGTTAAATAAATTATAAATCTAAATATAAAATGTAAAACTATATTACTATTAGAAAACATGGGAGAAAACCTTTGTTAATTGGGATTAGACAAGGAGTTCTTACACATGACACCAAAAGTATATAACATAAAATTTTAAAAAATGGCTTGTTAGACTATATCAAAATTAAAAACTTTTACTGTGCAAAAGGCACTACTAAGAATGAGAAGACAAGCTACAAAGTAGGGGAAATATTTGTGAACTCTGTGTTCAACAAAGGACTAATACCCAAAATATTTAAAGAACTCTCATAACTCAACAATAAGAAAACCCAATTTCTAAAAATTGTGTAAAAGTCTTGAATAGACAGCTTATCAAAGTAGATAAAAAGACAGGAAATGCATAGAAAGGTTTTCAACATCACACGTTATTAGGAAAATGAAAATTAAAAACCCAGATGTTGATAATACTGGGTTTTTCAGTATTATCAACTGAAAGGACTTGGCCCCAGAGGGCCGGCCTTACTCCAGGCCACGGTCTTCCTACACCTCGGTGCCCAGCAGTCTGTCCACTGCAGGGATCTTTCCCAAGAGCAGCAGTAGCTCATACACATACCTATTAGAATGGCTATGCACATACCTATTAGAATGGCTAAAATTAAAAGTCCTGATGGTACTAAGTCCTCAGTAGGATATAGACAACTGGAATTCTCATAATTGTTGGCGGGAATGCAAATTGGTCTGTTAAAGTCTGGCAAAGAGTTATCAGGTTCTTTATAAAGTTAAACATTCATTTATCATATGACCCAGCAATCTCACTCTTTGGCATTTATCCCAGAGAAATGAGAACATATATTCGTACACAAAAAACCTGTACACAAATGATTATAGCAACTTTATTTGTAAGAATTCCAAATTGGAAACAACCCAAATGTCCTTCAAGGGGTAAATAGATTAATTGTGGTACATCCACACAATAGACTACTACTGTCAGCAACAAAAAGTTCAACTACTGACATGTGCAGCAACTGGATGAATCTCAAAGGTAACGTGCTGAGTGAAAGAAGCCTGTCTCTAAAAGTTATATACTGTGTGATTCCGTTTAGAAAACATTCCCCGAAAGACAAAATGATAGTGATAGAGAATAGAACGGTGGTTTGCAGAGGAAGGAAGTGGGGGCCTGGGAGCGCGTGATCCTTTGGGGATAGACAGACCCCTCTGTGTCCCGATTGTGATGGTGTAAACACAAATCTGTAAATGTGTTAACATTATAGAACTGTGCACCAAAAGTGAGAAAAAAGCCAATTTTGTTTTAGAATGATTTCAAAAATAAAGTTGAAAAAGTCATTTCTTAACAAAACAAAGATGGTGAAACTGGTGGTTCCAGTGTCCAGGGGTTAGGTATATCCCTGCTTTCTACTTGAATTTCTCTTGAATATATTATAATGTACCAGTAATACGTGCATTCCTACCAGCTTCACCCCCTCAAATAAAGGAGACTGACTCCTGGCACAGGACAGTGTAGTGCATGGAGAAGATAAACATTTTTCCACTTAGACACATTCTTTAGAGATGCAACTTTGTTTACAGCAACTCCTTTTCTCATTTTCTTGGAGATGTTTTTGGTTTGCTTAGATACACAGATTACAAACCTCTTCATTTCATAAGAGGCTGATTCCCATTCCCAGTCTCCCTTCCAAATAGGAGATTTCCCTCAAAGGGGAATGTAAGCCTCTCCCCTAGGATTCCTAAGCTTTGATCTGCACAGTAACACCAGGGAGATTGGTTGGAAGGCAGATTCTTGGGACTCACGTTCATCTCCTGTGGTGGAGCCCAGGACTGTCTACTTTTATTTATATTTATTTATTTTGAAACTTTTTTCTCTTTATTTTTCTTTTCTTTTCCTTTTTTTTTTTTTTTTTTTTTTTTTTTTGAGACAGTCTTACTCCATCACCCAGGCTGGAGTGCAGTGGCGCAATCTCAGCTCACTGCAACCTCCGCCTCCTCGGTTCAAGCAATTCTTGTGCCTCAGCCTCTCAGTTCCTGGCATTACAGGTATGAACCACCATACCTGGCTAATTATTTATATTTTTAGTAGAGATGGGATTCTGCCATGTTGGCCAGGCTGGTCTCGAACTCCTGACCTCAAGCCATCCACCCGCCTTGGCCTCCCAAAGTGCTGGGATTACAGGTATGAGCCACCACACCTGGCCGGGACTGGGTATTTTTAAAGACACAATCTTGATGAGTCTCTTTGGGGTGCTGTAGGGAACCTCTTTGAGAAATTCTATAGAGCCAGGAATTTAAACTTGTAATATATCTGTCTGTCTGTCTCCATCTCGATAGCTCTCATTACTTGTGTTGAAACACATATGGCTCCACCTAACTGTTTTAAGCATTGTACAGTATCCCACTGTGTGAGCGCATCTGAAGCTGCTCCCACAGAAACCACAGTGCTGCTTCTCTGGGCTATGTTCAGGTATACTTTATTTCACACATGTGCTGAGTCTTCAGCAGCAGCCGCTGCATGACATATGGGTCATTCCCAAACTTCAATCTCATTATTTTTGCTGAGAAGGTACTGGCCACCTTCTCCATTTTTATGTTTTCCATATATATTACTTTCTTTACAACGGACTTTTCAGTTATTTAAATATTTTTTCTTTCAGCTTTAGATTTTTAGTTCATCAAAATGTTTCTTCTGTCAAAAATTCTATCTGTACAAAAAAATAGCTGGGCATGGTGGCGTGTGTCTGTAGTCCCAGCTATTTGGGAGGCTGAACTGGGAGGGTCGCTTGAGCCCAGGAGTTCGAGGCCGCAGTGAGCTGTGATCGTGCCATTGCACTCCAGCCTGGGCAACTGGAGTGAGACCCTGACTCAAAAAAAAAAAAAATTCTGTCTGGTTGTAATTAGTGTGGAATTTGTATAAATTCTTTTTCTCAGATGTCTCAATTGCATTGTTTTAATTTCCACATACATGATACATTTTTTCAAGACTCTGCTCTGTGTCCTGAGTTTCTCATAGTACCTGTCACATTGTGGGTCCTCTGGTTGTATTAGCTGGTTTGACACTTCCCATTTCTTACAGATTCCTCCCAGGTCTCCATAGAGTGCTACCCTACTCTCCTTCATTAAATGCTAATTGAAGGAAAATATTGCTATATGAAAATAGAAGCAATGCCTTTTATCGTATTTGCAAGTCAAGTTATGAGATGTGAATTGAATGTACTTGCGTATTGCTAACGTGAAATTCAAGTTTCTGTTTAGGATAACGTTTTTAAAAGCTGCAAAAAAAGTTGTAAACTATTTTAAACATTTAAAGCCAAAATGACCCAATACAAAGTAATTGAAACAATTTTAAAAGTCGCTAACATTGTATTAAACATTTACTCCATACCTAGCACTGTTCTAGATACCAAAGCACTTTCTGTGTATTAGTCCATTCAGTCCTCACCGCAGCCTCCCGAGGTACTTACTGTTAAACTCATCTGTAACATGGGAATAACAGTGAGACACAGAACTCTTACATAACTTGATTAAGATATCCAAACAAGAAATGATGAGAATAATGATAGAGACACCTTTCTGTGTCTGAGCACTTTAAAGCATCAGACACTGTGCTTTCTACTTTGTGTCATCGTATCTGTAAACTAGGTAATCTCGTCCCCACTGGGTGGGTGAGGCAATGGAGGCTTAGTGAAGTGACTTGCACCTGGTCCTACCTCTAAGTAGAACAGAGTAAATCAGAATTGTAACCCATGGAGTCTGTTTTGAGAGGCCAAGCTCTTAATCTTTACATTGTCTGCAGAAGATACCAAGTTCATCCTGGGAGAAGCTCTTGTCATGCGCTGGTCATTAGGCAAGGGCTATAGAGACAAAGTCCTGACTTTTAGCAGGCAAATGGCTGCACACACCCTGATCTCTGGCTCTCTGGACCATTCTTCACAATGATAAACTGTCCTCTCCTTGAAGGAGCTGGGGTGGGGCACAACAGCCAGGGTCCTTGATTTTAGAAAATGTGATTTGTGGAAGCTCTTGGCCTCTTTTGGCCTCAGCCAAATGTGGCAAAATACAAACAGGCCAGGTCTCAGTGTCTGCCCATCCTGTTCTTTTTCATACTGAAAGGATTTATTATGAGGCATGTGACACATAAAATAAGGGTTATTTCTGCAAATTTGATTTTGATTTGATCCGTGATGAGTTCAACCTGTTATATCCCAAATCACCACTTTCCTCCACAGCATTTACCCTACTCTGTAATTACGTATTTACTGTATGTGTGAAGCATCCTTATCCCTCATAACCAACTGCTAGTGAGCCACACTTTCATTCACATTCTCAGGCTACATCTCAGAAGCTTGCTTTGTTTAAGGGCTTCATTATGGGAATTTTGTCATTTCTTCTGAATAAGAACAAAACTCACATTTTTATAAATGTGTTTTGCTCTAATCACCTGTATGTGAATATAAATTTGAAAGATACTAGATGGAATCCTAGTCGATAGGGCCATGTTTTTGTTCTTGAAAACGTACACTTAATTCTGGGAAGGAAGTTGACATGGTTAAAGCAGGGATCAGCAAGCCACAGTCTGCTGGGTTTGCAAAGTTTTATTACAACACAGCCACATTCTTTCATTTAGGTATTCTGTCTGTCTCCTTTGATGTCGCACAGCAGAGTTGAGTAGTAGCGACAGACACCATCTGGCCCACCAAGTCTAAAATATTTAATAACTGGCCCTGCACTGAGACTGTTTGTTGACCTCCGGTTTAGAGAAGTAGAAAGTCCCCACCCCTTGATCATACTGAAGAACAGCTGCTGTTGGTGTTCTCGTGAATGTCTTTAGCTCCGCTTCCTCTGGGAAGGAAATAAGACAGTTATCTCTTCATGAAGCATTTTTTTTTTTTGGTGCCAACCTTATCATCTCATTCTTCGTTTTAATGTTTCTACAGTTGCTCTGATAAAATTCTTTTAAAAAGTTCTTTAAAAATGCTTTCCCCAATATTTATACAAGTTACCAATCAAATGTTGCAGTCTTAATCATTTATTGGAAACTGTAAGATTTTTGAGTCGTGTTTCTCACTTTGATGTGCCTTACTGCCACCAAGAAGGTTCATGTTTTTTTTTTTTGTTTGTTTGTTTTTTGTTGTTTTTTTCTGTTTTATAGGAGTCATTGCAGTTTTCAGTAGAGGTGTACTTCTGAGAAGTGGCTTCTTGGGTCTTCATGCAGCCATGGATCTGGATAAACCATCTGTTTGGGGCTCATTAAAACAGCGGACCAGGCCATTGTTGATCAACTTGAGCAAGAAGAAGGTGAAAAAGAACCCAAGTAAGCCCCCAGATCTACGGGCAAGGCATCACTTGGACCGCCGTCTCAGCCTCTCTGTGCCTGATCTCCTGGAGGCTGAGGCCTTGGCCCCAGAGGGCCGGCCTTACTCCGGGCCACAGTCTTCCTACACCTCGGTGCCCAGCAGTCTGTCCACTGCAGGGATCTTTCCCAAGAGCAGCAGTAGCTCCTTGAAACAGTCTGAAGAAGAATTGGATTGGAGCCAGGAAGAAGCCAGTCACCTCCATGTGGTGGAAACAGACTCAGAGGAGGCCTATGCCTCTCCTGCTGAGCGGAGACGGGTGTCCAGCAACGGCATCTTTGATCTTCAGAAAACTTCCCTTGGAGGGGATGCACCAGAAGAGCCAGAGGTGAGAATAGGGCTGGGCTCTCTTTTTTTTTGTCTCTCTCTCTCTCTCTCTTTCCCTCTCTTTCTCCCTCTCTCCCCATCTCCCTCTCTCTTCCCCCCTCCCCCTCCCTCTCTCTTCCCCCCTCCCCCTCCCTCTCTCTCTCCCCCTCCCCCCTCTTTCTCTCTCTCTCCCTCCCTCTCCCTCCCTCCCTCTCCCTCTTTCCCTCTCCCTCTCTCCCTCTCTCCCTCTCTCCCTCTCTCCCTCTCCCTCTCCCTCTCCCTCTCTCCCTCTCCCTCTCTCCCTCTCTCCCTCCCTCTCTCCCTCCCCCTCCCCCTTCCCCTTCCCCTCCCTTTGGAAAATTTGGTTAGGAGTTATTTTCGTGGTTAGCTCAGATGGGGAGAATGTTGTTTACAAGAATTTAAATTAATGCAGTATTGATTGCACCCAGTGTTCCCATTAGTTTTAGGGTTGACCTCTGTGTGTTTTAAAGCTATTACAAATAACTCTTCCAGAATACTTTAGGACATTAAAAGCCATATTGGATGAATTCTCTTTTATCTGTCTCCTGGCAAAGAAATTAAGTACCTAACTTTTCCTGGAATTTTTTTTTAAGTGTATGTTTGTGTCTCTCACTACACCATTGCCCAGTCATACCTGTAGAAAAACCATGCATATTATTACTCCTAAGAAGCATATGAATGTATGTCCCCCTTTGACTGCCTTAGGATTTGAACTTCCTTCTATTTTATACCTGTGTGTGCACTCGCCTGTGAACAAGCATTCTTTTAAAAAGTTAACAAAACTTTAGTATTTCAATACAATTAATTAACCAAATATAATGATGACACAAATATTTTATTTCAAGGGTGAATATAATTTAAATTCAGTCCCCAGGTTACCAAATCATGATTTAAGTGACTGATGTAATTAGTTGTCTTTAAAAAGTCTTTCGTTACTGACACTGAAGTAGGTTTCCATGTTGAAGTAAGGGGTTAATTTTTCTGTGTTCCAGGTTAGTGTTACAATTGCCTAGAAAACTGGTTGTTTAACTTGGATTTTTAGTTTCACTTTTAGAAACAAAACTCATTGCTTATTCCATGTATCAGGGTTTCACCAGGGAAGGGATCATGGATGTTTGGAGGATATCATGGCCATATTCGTTAGCAAGCATTACTATATTAAGACACCATTACCCATAAATGACTTTAACTATTTTTTTATTTGGCATTACGTTTTATAAAACCCATTTTGTAAACCTTTTTTGACTTTTTAGTTATTTATGAATTTGAAATACATGTTTCTTTTAAACAAAATGCAAATGAAGTAGATTATTAAATCAGGTCAGTATAAGGAAGGTAACCTGTTGAATTATATAATAAAGTTAATCTTCGTCTTTTTTTTTCCTGACCAGAAAATAAAAGTGGGCTTCTTGGCTTTGATATACTAACATTTTCATACTCAGAAGGAATTTTTTTGAAGCGACTGCTGTTAAACCATTTAGAACTTTTATTGTCATGGCCGGGCACGGTGGCTCATTCCTGTAATCCCAGTACTTTGGGAGACCGAGGTGGGTGGAGATCACGAGGTCAGGAGATTGAGACCATCCTAGCTAACACGGTGAAACCCCATCTCTACTAAAAATACAAAAAAATTAGCCGGGCGTGGTGGCGGGCACCTGTAGTCCCAGCTACTTGGGAGGCTGAGGCAGGAGAATGGCATGAACGCGGGAGGTAGAACCTGCAGTGAGCTAAGATCGCGCCACTGCACTCCAGCCTGGGTGACAGAGTGAGACTCTGTCTCAAAAAAAAAAAAAAAGAACTTTTATTGTCTTTGTTGATTAAACAGAAATATTTGAATGCTACTCTAGGCCAGGCAGTGTGAAAGTTGCTATTGGAAATAGAGATGGGTAAGAAAGTGCCTCTGCCCTCCAACTGTGATTTTTTGGGAGATCTTACAAGCAGAGCATAAGAGGCTACTGGATATCAGAGCTGTTGTTGCAAAATGTTTCAGCCTGGTCTCCTGGCAGCTCACTGGAAGGAGGGGATCAGTGTGTGGAAAATGAGGGCATGTTATCTGTGAAGCAGTGTCCAAGTTGGCACAGAGGATAGTGTGCTTGCCAGGTGAGGAAAGCTGGTGATCACAGCCTGAAGTGTGGATGGGTGCTGTTGGGGGTGATGAGTGTTTTGCTCTACCTGGATTGGAGGCACTGGGAGCTTTGTGGTGTGATGTGTGTCTGGAAGGGTGTGGGCTGGTCCATGATAGTAGATGTGGGGTTGTTGGGTTGGCTATTTTATCTTCTCCAGGCTAAATGCAGAAAGCTTAGAATAGGCAGATTCCTTCCAGAATAGGTTATTCTGGATCATTTGGTTTTTCCCTTTTAACGCAACCATTTTTTTAACCTTTGTTCTCAAAAATGAATCCTTTGCTCCTCTTTTTCTGACCTAGAAAGTACAAAACAAAGACCAAGACTGATTCTACCGTTCAGGGTTGAGGTTCTCTCTACTTGAGTGCCGTTGCTTTGCTGGGTGGCATGCTTGCAGAGGACGGAGGGACGGGAGTGCGGCTGATCAGACCCCTAGGATCCCTTGCAGTCTAGTTCTGCCCACCCAGCTCCCTCCTCACCGGCTCCTCCCCTCAGTCCTGCCTGTTTGAGTTGGGCCTGTCCCACTACCCAGTCTGAGTTCCAAAACTGAAGAACCTGGAGTCTGATGTTTAAGGCCCTGTCCCACTACCAGTTTATCACATGGTACAGAAGAGGGGCTTCCTTACTTATCTTCTCCACTAGGCTGTGTTGATTTGGAGGATTGGCATGGCTGGGGAGACACCTTTGTCTTTGTTTTCTAAGCGTCTAGCTTCATGCCTTGCGCATAGCACATAACGTATGCTCAGCTGATATTTGTTTAATACAAAAACGATGATAGCAACGTGTGCATTCAGGTTACTTGGGTATTTGTGTTTTTCCTGTGAGTTTTCTTTAGTTTATGATTTAATTAAAATCATCTGTGGTTTTTGAAAAAATACTCAATTTTATTTTATATGATAATTGAAATTAGAGGTTTAGGCAGGTGTAAACTTTTTGGCTGAAATTTGATATTGATTTTAACTCTGAATTTATCATTTCTGCTTTTTTTTTTTTTTTTAAACAAAGGGAATTCCTGCAGAATTCATGTCACCTGAGAGTTTGGGAATTGGTTCCTCTGTGTTTTAGATATGGCTTATCTGTTTCTTCCTAGTTAATAGCTGGTGGCTTTCTATACCTTGTGTGGAATGAGGAAGAAATGAAGAAGAAGGAAGGAGTTGGCATGTGGCAAGCCTGGTGTACAGCAAGGACAATCAGATTTTTGTCCAGTGTTCTCAGTTTAACTTACTTTGTTTTTAGCTTTCCAGAGGGGTCAGGCAAGGAGTGAGCATCTGTGGCCTGAGGGATCCCTAGGGGTTTGCCTCTTCTGTTGTGTACCAGCGCTTCTCTGGTGCCAGTTGAGATAAGTGGGGAGATTACTCTGAGCAGGGTGGTCAGGAAAGGCTTGAAGAGAACTCCTTTTGAGAATTAGTAAGACTCAGATAGGCAGAGAGTAAGCCTGTGGCAGTGGGACAGGACCCCAAATATCAGCAATGCCTGAATTCTGCAGTCACCTCCAGGCCCACCAGCATCAGCAAAGAAAGTGAAATGTTAGTCTACTGTTATGGGGAATTGGAATGATGGGGCAAAAGAGGAAAGTAAGCATGAGGGGCAAGGAAGAAGGAATGTGAAAAACAGGACAGGCAGAGCCTAAAATATTGCAAATGCCAAATCCAGCTGTAAAACCAAAAGGTGAGAACATACGCTTAGAAGAAAGGATACATCCGTGGAAGAGGATTTAGCCAGACTCTCTCTTGAGCTCCAGATCCACACCCTACTGGATGTCTCATAGGAACCTGGTTTCGACTTGTTTTGACAGAATTCAGTCTCCCTGAAGAACCACCTCAAACATAGACCATGATTTCTTGGCAGTATCACCATTATTCACCTAGTTGTTCAAGCCAAACATCTGTGAATAATGGTAGTCTCTTACTTTCCCTGCTTTTCATGTTTGTGGGGTCTTTTGTCGTCTCACATGTTTCCTCCTCTCTTACCTATCATATTAGTCCATTTTCATGCTACTGATAGACATAACGAGACGGGGCAAATTACAAAAGAAAGACGTTTAATATGGACGACTTACAGTTCCACATGGCTGGGGAGGCCTCACAATCATGGCAGAAGGCAAGGAGGAGCAAGTCATGTCTTACATGGATGGCAGCCAGCAAAGGGAGAGAGCATGGACAAGGAAACTCCCTGTATTAGGGTTCTCTAGAGGGGCAGAACTAATGGAATATATATATATAGTTTATATATATATAGTTTATATAGTTTATATATATATATAGTTTATATATATAGTTTATATATATATATATATAGTTCTGTCTAGAGGGACAGAACTAATGGAATATATATATATATGTTTATTAAATATTATCTCACATGATCACACGGTCCCACAATAGGCCATCTACAGGCTGAGGAGCAAGCAGTCCAGGTTCCAAAACTGAAGAATTTGGATTCGGATGTTTGAGGGCAGGAAGCATCCAGCATGGGAGAAAGGTGTAGGCTGGGAGGCTAGGCCAGTCTGTTTTCACATTTTTCTGCCTGCTTATATTCTAGCCACACTGGCAGCTGATTAGATGATGCCCACCCAGATTAAGGGTGGGTCTGCCTTTCCCAGCCCACTGACTCAAATGTTAATCTCTTTTAGCAACACCCTCACAGACACACCCAGGATCAATATTTTATATCCTTCGGTCTAATCAAGTTGACATTCAGTATTAACTATCACACTCCCAGTCATAAAACCATCAGATCTCATGAGACCCATTCACTGTCACGAGAACAGCATGGGAAAGAGTTGCCCCGTGGTTCAGTCATCTCCCATGGGTCCCTCCTACAACATGTGGGAATTATGGGAGCTACAAGATGAGATTTGGGTGGGGACACGGAGCAAACTTACTTCATATTCATTCTGTTCTACTGAAATCCTTCCCATACTTCAAGGCCTAGTGGAAACCTTCCTTCTCTGTGGTGCTTTTTCCAACTCTGTGGTGAGTATAATCAGCCTGCCTTCATTTTCATAGCATGTCACTTTTACTCTGACTGAGCACTAACCTCAGTCTGTTCTCTGGAGAAATCTGTAGAGAGAAGAAGGGATTACAACAGGAAGAGGAGGTAGAAAGGGGAAGACAAATTGGTCCTGGGCAAGGGCATCACTGAGTAAGTTCTTGAGAAAGTCGGCATGCTCTAAGACATGTACTAACTGTCCAGTGGTCATCTAGCTCAGAGGACTGACTCATGATAACCAGATGGTCACAAGTCTGAGCTACAAATGACAATCACAACTAATTTGCCATGAGAATTAAATACTTTGAAGACTCTAGGCCAGATGTGGTGGCTCATGCCTGTAATCCCAGCACTTTGGGAGGCTAACATGGGTGGATCACTTGAGGTCAGAAGGTCAAGACCAGCCTTGCCAACGTGGTAAAATCCTGTCTCTACTAAAAATATAAAAATTAGCTAGGCATGGTGGCACATGCCTGTGGTCCCAGCTACTGAGGAGGCTGAGGCGTGAGAATCGCTTGAACCCAGGAGGCAGAGGTTGCAGTGGGCTGTGATTGTGCCCATGCACTCCAGCAAGGGTGACAGGGCAAGATTCCATCTCAAAAAAAATAATAAAAATTAAAGACTCTAATGTTCTTTTGATGTAAACAGCTCATTCTTCATTTTTGTCAAATCACACAGAAAGTCAAATCATAATCAATGTCTACTTCATTAACCTGTTAGGAGAAATTATTATCTCAGGGCCTGGAAACACTTGAAATGCATTTCCTCCCCACAGTCAGCCTTTAGGAGAAGTCACATGAGAATCAGGAAAATTGGTGCAGGGATTGGCACACTGCAGGGAGAATGCATGGGCTCCATGCTGAATGGCATTTCATACACCATCCATCTCACAATGGGTACTGAGCCACAAATTAGAACTTGACATACTCACACTTTGTCTACTAGGGCCACCTTTATCCATCTCTGTGAGCCCACTTAGTCCAGGAAGCCTGGATTTTAAAGTCCCTCCTTCTGAACAAGTCCAAACTTTTATTGAGGCTTCCTGGCGTGACCTCTCCCTTTTTCTGATTGACACATTATTTCATTAATTGTATGTTATCACTTCATTAATTGTAAGGCTGATATCTTATCATGGTGGCCTGGCATCCATATTGTGTCCTTTAGGTGACTTTGTATGTCTGGGTGCTGACGGATAAAGAGTCATTGCTTGGATTGAATTGTGTCCCCCAGACCAAGTTCTTATGTTGAATCTCTAACCTTTACATGACTGTATTGAAGATATGGCCTTTAGGAGGTGATTAAGGATAAGTGAGGTCAGAAGCATGGAGCCCTGATCCAATGGAACTGGTGTCCTTATACAAGAGAAAGAGACACCAGAGGTCTCTCATTCCCCACCATGTGAGGACACAGTGAGAATGGAGTCATCTGCAAGGCAGGAAGTGGGTTTCTGTTGTTTAAGCCACCTAGTAAGTGGTATTTTGTTATAGTCGCCTGAGCTGACTAACTCTGTGATCTTAACAGTTTTAGCCTCGGAGGACGATCTCATTGCTTGTGGCCAAGACTTGTGGCTAAAGAGGAGGTAAGAGCACCATAGTCTACTGCCACATACCAATACCTCCACACACATACACACACATGCGGATATATATATATATGTATGGGAGTGTATATATATACCTTTTTATAGGTGTGTGTGTATACACACATAGCTGTTTAGAAGTCAGTCTCTCTTGTTAGAGTATAAGCTCTTGAAGAGTAGAAATGTCATTTTTCTTCTTCTCCCGGCCTTTCTGCAAACCTTGCTTATATGATATGCATGTATATTGATTCATATTATCACTGCAGTTGACTTTCCAGCCACTGCCAAAGGCTTGGAAAGCCATAAGAAATTTAGTTGTGTTGGGGAAGGGTGATACATGGAGGCGCTACGTGGGTAGGGCCCTAAAGAAAGGAGTTTCTAAGCATCAGATGAAATGTGAAGAAGCTAAAGTTAAGGGAACTCGGAGGGAGAGGAGCTTATTTTTTTATTTTTTTCTTCTTATCTAGTTTTTTTCTCCTCATTTTCTCCTCTAGTCAGCACTCTCCCAGTACTTACTTTACAAGACGCTTTTAACATGCATTGTAAAATCAGCTAAGTATTTAGAAAATGCATACGGTCTATTCTGGTTCTTGCCGTAGGTATTGATGGTGAAATTGGGATTAGACACAGACACTGAAAAAAATGACCAGCAATACCAACCAGTCTCTACTCAGTGCTAGATAACCAGTTGAGATGAATGGGGAGGTTATTCTGAGCAGGGTGGTCAGGAAAGGCTTGAAGAGAACTCCTTTTGAGAATTAGTAAGACTTAGATAGGCAGAGAGTAATACAGATTAGTTAAGTTTGTCTGTGGGGCTAGAAAAATATGAAGGTCTTAGCCCAGTACCTGCCAGCCACAAGCACCTAACAAGTGCTTACTGCCATGATTTTGGTTGTATTCATTAGTGTTTATAATTATTTTTAACATTGCTTATTTTTCAGAATGACATGGAGGTTTGGAGAATTTTAGTGACTTGCTTAATGTCATCCAGCTAGTAAGTGTCAGAGACAGGATCTAACTCCAGGATTGTCTGAATCCTGGGACTGTGCGCAGAACTGTGGGTATAACATGAGTTTGGAAGTACAATTCTGCAAATGGGAGAGCTCAGATCTGGAGATAAAAAAAGTTGATCACAAAAGGAAGACATTTATTTTTCTGTGTCCACTGTGTCCTTTTAAACACAAGGATAATTATCAAGATTGAATGGGCTCATTGTCATGGTCAATAACTAATAATTATGAAAGAAAGGATCATTCCCCCTTTCCCATAATCCATGAAATTCCACAATGGGGTATGTCCTTCCCTGACATTTCATTTGGCAGTTGGAGTTGTGAATAACTAGCTTTGGCATGCACTTACGTGGGTGAGTTGAGTGATTTAGAGAAGTTCCCCATTGAGATATTTCCAGAAATGGCTTGGCAACTGCATAGCTTCAGGTTAGTGATCACAGAGAAGTAGAGTGAGAAACCACAGAGGAGAGGAAACGACCTCCAGGTTGCAAAATTAAACAAGTGCGTCAGTTTCTCTACACTTCAATGACGTCATTTTTACTATTTTTGTGTGATCTCGAAAGTCGTACCTCAATATGTGATGGTGTGTCAGAGAGGCAGGTGTGTCAGCTACATCCCAGGGTCCATCATGGGCTCAGTCTCGCTGTTCTTCTTCCTTCCCTTCGCACCTGTTGAACGCCTGCTTTGTGCTGATGCAGATCCAGACACTAGGGACAGAGTAGTCAACAAAATAGAAAAAAGTCACCTTCCTCATGGAGTTTCCACTAGGAAAGGTGGCAAGCTATAGATATAATCAGAACATAAAGTGTCATGGAGAGAAAGAAAGCAGAGTAGGTGCTGGGGGGGAGGTGTTATCATTTTGTACAGAGTGGTCAGGAAGGACCTCTTCCGAGAAGATAACCTTCACACAAAGATATGGAGGAGGTGAGGAAGTGGGTTGTGTGCATAGCTAGAGAAAAGCCTTCCAGAAAAAGAGAACAGCAAGCATAAAGGCCCCAGGGTAGCAGGAGTGTCCCTGATGTTTCAGGAAGAGCAAGGAAGCAGTGAGGCTGGAGAGGAGGCAGTGAGGCGGCAATGGGAGGAGATGGCAGAGAAGTGAACAGAAGCCACATCATGTAGGGCGTTCCTATCTTGTCAGGCAACTCTAGCTGCTTAGTGCACTGAATGAGCGGGATGCACAGGAGCCCCATGGGCTCAATGCTGCATCACTCATAGGGCAGAAGGAATCGTTGGCACACGGGCAGTGCTTGCTGTGTCTGCTGTAGACACTGGGTATAGCAGTAAGTCCAAGCTTTGCCTTGGACAAAAGATATGGAGAAATGGCGCACAGGCTGATGGGCTGTGGGCAGAGGGAAAATGGCACTGTCCCGAGGCTTCGTCAGCCAGTCTCTGACTTTGTCCTGGTCACTTTCGGTGGGGAATGTTGGAGGGAGCTAAGAAAGGGACTCAGATTGCTCACCACCTTCATCAAGTTCTTTTGATCCACTCTTCCCAAACACATAGGCTGTTTTATGACTATTACTAATATAATTCATAATAATAATAATAAATAGAATAGCAACACCAATCTAATGCTACTTACTGAGGGTTTATGTGTAAGGAACTCTGCTAATTTCTACATAAATATTATCAGACCACATCTATTTGGTTTCCTCTGTATGCGAAGAGTCCTCGCACAGTGTCTGTCTGAGAAAAGGCTTTCAGTAAATACCCTCTGAGTGATTTAATTATTCTAACAACCTATAAGAATCTGTTTTGATCCATTGAGAGATGTTCCCATGTCTTGAATTTTAGGTATATTTTTCAAGGACAGAAAGCTAGAAAGTAGCAGAGGTGGGACTCAAATCCAGGTCTTTTGGACTCCAGAGCCTTGTTCACTACCATGTACAGCTGCTTCCTGGTCAGGCGAGGTGTGCTGTTTTGGGATTCTCCTGGCGCAGGTGTGGTACAGTGAAAAGAGCAGCGTACCCAGGTCACTCAGGGGAAGCCCAACCTAGAGTGCTCTCCAGGGCCGAACTCTCCAGCTTTCCTGTGATGGCCATTTAGCCTCCTGGCTCTGCTTTCCTCTTTGCCAATTGGGGAGACTAATGACAGCCTGTGGACTTGTTTTAAGAAGTTACAAGGAGCATAAATTTTACATTAGAAAGTGCTCAGCGATGTACAAGCAACCATTTTTTAAAGTATCTCCTGTTAATAAACATGCAAAAAACTTACGGCAGGTCAGTGGACAAATATTACTAAATATGCAGAGTTTTAGAGCATTTCAACAGGGGTTGATAAACTTTTTTTTTAGAAAGGGCCAGAGCTTTGTGGGCCACAGGCCTCTGTCACAACTACTCAAGGTGAGGTCACATGACATTGGCCATAGACAACACAAGAACAAGTAGACAGCGGTGTATTTCAATCAAACTTTGTAAAAGCAAGCGGCGGGCTGGATTTGTCTCATGGGATGTAATTTACTGACTGTTTTATACCATCATATGCTTGAGCAAGGTATATGGACACACACACACGATTCAGATTTTGCTATTAGATTAGACAGTCAATACAGCAGGGAAATCACTTTTAGAGACCAGTCTTGGAGATGAGAGAGAATTAAATTTATACACCTTGATTGTATGATCCATAACCTCCTGAAAAGTGGTACAAAAAAATAAGAACAGACTTGGCCGTTTAGTAGGCTTGATTGTCTTCTGAATACACCTTCCAGTTTTGACCTCTCATTGCCATGTAGCTCACTTTTCATTCTATCACTGTGTCCAGTTGCTGCTTCCTGGTTAGTGGAGCCGTCTGATTCCTTTTGCTTATTTTGTAACTTCCTTTGTCCTCTATGTATTTGTGTTTGTGACTCCTGTATTCTTAAATATACATATTCTAGATAGACAAGATACGGGTTATAGATTAAATATGCAGTATGTATACATTTATATACTTTAATGGGGCAGTTTTTAAAGAGAATACTATTGATTTGTTCAGCCAAATTTTTACTCTTATTTAGCTTTTCTGGATGTGGGTTTATGTTTTCTTCCTCTGAAATGTAAACAAACAGTGACTGCTTACCTAATTTTTAATTTGGCTTCCTGTGTGTGCCTCATAGTAAGACCCTTCAGACAGCCACATGGGAGATGGTATTCGTACAGGATCACATTTAGTGTATATTGAAAGGAAAATGTTTATTCACAACAGTTTCTTGCCCTCAATCTCAAAGTCCTTGGTGACTAGAGAAGATTTTCTTTTTAAAATAATTGATCTGCCATTCCAGTGTCTCCCCATATCCTGCCGAATTTTAATATATTTGCATTCTTATGGTAGGAAAATCCACATCTAAAGGGAATGCAAAGTATGTATTACCTTCCCATAAATTTCAGTTTAGCAAGGCAGAATGGAAATATCAATGCAAAGTTGCTTTTATTTAAAAAAACACAA
The DNA here is from genome assembly GCF_000001405.40 of Homo sapiens. Taxonomy (NCBI): domain Eukaryota; kingdom Metazoa; phylum Chordata; class Mammalia; order Primates; family Hominidae; genus Homo; species Homo sapiens. The sequence continues at coordinate 94,309,859 of NC_000015.10, forward strand.
ATGAAAAACACTTACCTGAAAGGCAGCAGTGAGAGCTATGCAAGGGAAGACTAATCTCATAATAGTGCTCATTCCAAGATGTTAATGCTGTGTTTCTGAATGCTAGTATGTAATTAGACAGTTTTGTCATATTGAGACTTATTAGCTTTGACAATATTTAAAATTATTTCTCTTCCTGAGTATGTACTTGTACAAAATTTGTTTGAAATGTTAAAATGATGCTTATTAGGTAAACAATCAATAGATAGTACATCCCCAGGATGGAACACTACTCAGCAATAAAAAAGAATGACGCAGATGACAACCTTTACGGATTTCGAAGGCATTAAGTTGGGTAAAAGATTCCAGTCTCAAACATTTAAATACTGTATGATTCCAATGATATGATATTCTAGAAAAGATAAAACTATATGATGAAAATATACAATTACTTGCCATGGTTCTAGAGTTGGAAGATTTGACCACAGATGGGGGTCAAAGTGGAATAGCACAGAGGCATTTTTTTGGGTGGTAGAACTGTTCTATTATTATGATTGTGGTGGGGGTTATACAAATATATACAGGTGTTTAAAACTATGGCAGTGTACACATGGAAAATGTCAATTTTACAGTGTGTTAATTTTTTTAAGTAAATTTTTTTTAAAAAGGCCAAGCACAGTAGCTCATATCTGTAATTCTAGTGCTTTGTGGGAGGCCAAGGCGGGAAGATCGCTTAAGGCTAGGAGATGGAGACCAGCCTGGGCTGGTGTGCGACAGTTATGGCAGCTGTGAGAAGGCATCTCTATAAAAATAAATTTTGTAAGAAAATTTATAAAATAAATAAAACTATTTTATTATAAAATATTTCATAACATAAAATAATATATAATACTACAACATATATCTATTTAAAAATTTTTATATTCTAAAATATTTATAAAATAAAACAAAACTTAGCCAAGTGTGATGGTGTGCACTTGTAATCTCAGCTACTCAGGAGGCCGAGGCAGGAGGATGGCTTAAAGTTCCAGGAGGTCGAGGCTGCAGTGAGCTATGAATATGTCAGTGCACTCCAGCCTGGGTGACAGAGGGAGACCTTGTCTCAAAAACAAACAAACAAACATAAACAAAAAACTAAGGGAATCCACAGTGCTTGGTTACATTTATTGGGAACTTTCCTTTTTTTTTTTTTTTTTTTTATTTTTGAGATGGAGTCTCACTCTGTTGCCCAGCCTGGAGTACAGTGATATGATCTTGGCTCACTGCAACCTCCACAACCTGGGTTCAGGTGACTCTCCTGCCTCAGCCTCCCGAGAAACTGGGATGACAGGTGCACGCCACCACACCCGGCTAATTTTTGTATTTTTATTAGAGATGGGGGGGTTTGCCATGTTGGCCAGGCTGGTCTCGAACTCCTGACCTCAGGTGATCCGCCCACCTTGGCCTCCCAAAGTGCTGGGATTACAGGCATGAGCCACTACACTCAGCCTAGGAACATTTTTTAAAAATCTCGTAATATTGGTATTCTGGGGTATTCCTGATGAAATAAATATTAATTCTTCTCTTTTTAATGAAAAAAGTAAGTTAGTGATGTAGTTTCTAGGTTTATAAAGCAGGTGAAAATAATGCAACTTCTACTCAACGAATAATACCACAGGCACTATGCAAGAGTGTGGGGGAATATCCAAAGTTATGTGTCCCCCAGCGGCTGTAACTCCATCCTCCTGTGCATATGGAACATTTTGCTGTTCTTTATGGTAATCACTTTCCTATCTTGGTGTTTATATATGGTGTGTGACAGTTACGGTGGCTGTGGGAACCATAACTTTAAGTTCTGTGACTTTTCTGTGAGTAAAACCAGCCATAATGTTGAATTAATGTCATTGCTCACATTGAATTTCCTTGTTGTTATAAGTGGAAGACTTATCACATATTTGAATAAAAGCTCTGTTTTCATTTTTGATAACATGTAAATGATGGTGGTTAGGTGGATTAATTTTGTCATTTAATTAACATCATCATTCAGTACAGTGAGGACAACTTGGGAGAATATATATGGTCCAGTCTGAGGGGTGATACGGTTTAATCATACCTCTGTCCACTCCTCCATTTGAAAGTAGAAGATACAAGACCATCATTATCCTTGGCTAATGACATAACACTTTAATCAAAAGTGTTATTATCCACTTTAGTGGATCCCAATAGTTTTGTGGAATTATCTTCAAAATGGGATTGGTTAGGTAGAGCATTGATTCAATTAATAGAACTGGAGACCATAGCATGTGATTTTTCAGGCTTCAGAGCATCAGCACCGTTTACTCTTGGCTCTGCATGTGAAGGCATGGTTATTGATGCTGGAAATCAGGCAGAACGATTGCATTTGATTGCATTATTGGGAAATGATAGTGTATGGTATAAAACACATACAAATAAATCTATTGATATTGGGAAATTCAGTAAGTTGAATAAGGTTCTGATTATTGGCATAAAGTGGACTTCAGAGAGTACTGCCCAACTCACCTGGGGGTCCTTTTATACATAACACATGCAGGAGATACCAAGAACTAAGGGAGAGGTTGTTTGGCAAAGGACCTGTAGCCTCTTTTCTTGTCTGTCATCAAGCCACATTGAGAGTTAGGGCTGTCTTCCTGCCTAGGCAGTGGTGGTACTTCCTCAGTCAGAGGCATATAGTGGCTATAGTGCCAGGGCCCTAGAAAAAGCTTGTGTCTGAAATCACTCTTGATCCTGTGCGAATTAACCTGAACTGAACACAGTGTATTCACAGTCTAGGGACATTAAACCTGGGACTGATGGGGAAAGAGGCAAGGGTAAGAACCGCAGATTACAAGAACCTTAGGGCCTCTTTGTCCTAGCCCCATGAGGCTCCATTCCTTCTTGTACTCAGGGCTCGTTTCTGCCCAGTTGCAGCCTTTCTCGATGTCACTGCATGCAGAGGCAGTGGGCCAGAAAGCCCGTCCTTGTTTGCAGCTCCTCACCATTTCTCGTGGGTGCTGAAGATTTGCCCCCTGGTCTGGATGTTTTGTTGCTTCTTGAAGCTGCACTGGACAGAGCGAATGTGTGTCTCGGAAGGTAGCCTGCCATCAAGCTGGATGTCTGAGTCATGTCCAGGTGGTCACTGTGCATGGAAAGGACAAATGTCATCAGTGCCCCTACCCGCAGTGGCTCATGGTTTCCTAAGCATTGTCTCCGGGGCTGCCTCTCATCTCCAAATTGGCCCATAGCAATGAAGTTATCCAGTCGTCTTTGGAGGGGAAATTCCGTGGTTTTCATTGACGCAATCAGTCCTGGCTAATGTGCCAAACAGGAATATCCTCAAATTGCTGGGAGGCCATTTGCCCATGTCCCCCCTCCACTCTGCCTCTCATTGCAGGCAGCTGTCCTCACATTCAGCCCAGAAACTCTGTTAAAGTTCCAGAAACAGATAAAATCTCCTTTGTGCCTATAAAAGCTGACACAACTGAGGAATCTGTGCCCCATACTAACTACTGCATGATGCAGGTGTCATTGCCCTGTGGACTCATTTCCTGGGTACGAGAAGCATTTTAAAATTGGGAAACATAGGGGCCGGGCATGGTGGCTCACGCCTGTAATCCCAGCACTTTGGGAGGGTGAGGCAGGCAGATCACGAGGTCAGGAGTCCGAGACCAGCCTGGCCAATATGGTGAAACCCTATCTCTACTAAAAATACAAAAATTATCCAGGCGTTGTTACAGGTGCCTGTAATCCCAGCTACTCGGGAGGCTGAGGCAGGAGAATCACTTGAACTCAGGAGGTGGAGGTTGCAGTGAGCCGAGATCATGCCATTGCACTCCAGCCTGGGCGACAGAGTGAGACTCTGTCTAAAAAAAAAAACAAACAAACAAATACTGGGAAACATAGACACCTCTCATTCTGAGGTCATCTGTTCAGAATTTGCATTTCCCAGTTTTGGTTTGGCGATTGACCAGTTGCTAGCCCCATGAAGGTATGGCTTGAGGAATGTCTCTCAGATCACTCTTTGAAACGTTTCCTTCCGAACGGACATGCTCGATTCTCTGGATCCTGAGCTGCTCGTTTCACATCGGAGGCTGGGGGCCGGGCTGGCCCACTTGGGAGGGATCTGGCACAGTGGCTGTGCTGCCCCGCTGCTTTCTCTGGGAACAAAGCTATTTGCATGCTAAACATGTGGGTGAACTAGGGATGCCATGTGGCCCAGCAGGGGCGTGCAGTTCCTCTTATCCAGTGACTTAGGCGGCAGAGGACACAGCTAGGATGACACCTCTGCATCCACGTCTCCTTGCCACACAAACAGGAAGGCGGCCCTCACTGAAGCTGCATATGCAAATATCAGATTTCCAAAGGAAAAGACCTGATAGAGGGTATCTTCCTGAGTTGGTATTAATTTGCTTTTGTAAAGCAGATTTTTTTTTCTTTTTCTTTGCAGAAGCTATGTGGAAGCAGTGACCTGAATGCTTCTATGACATCTCAACATTTTGAAGAACAATCTGTGAGTGGCATTCCTTAAAAAGAAACATTAAATGTTGTAGATATTTCTCATCAAATGTTTGGGTTTGTATTTTTTTTGCCTCTTTTATTGCTAAAAAAAAAAAAAAAATGCCAAACCGTATCCACTTACAAAACCAGGCCTTGCAAATTTTCGCTGGAGGAGATTAATTCAGTATCTATTGATTTGTCAGACTGGGATAGATTCTTCTAAAAATACAGAGTAACTATGAAATTGAGTGAGATAGTAAGGCAGATAAAGCCAGTTTGAAGTGCTTTGAAACTTTCAAAAGAAGGCTGTCAAGGGTGGCTTAGCCACAGGATCGATTAATTGAATGTCCAATAAGTGAATGATAAATGATTTTATTTGCCCTTTTCCCTTTAAGGACAGTCAAAAGTTTGAAATGACTCAAAAATTTAATTGGGCTCATGTAATACATATTCAAAAACAGACTTGAATTCTACAATATGGCCAGCAGGAGTTGATGCATTTCTGGAGGAGGAAGTGACTGAGTTGCGGGAAGGTGAGACTGTGAGGATTAGAGTAAGAGACACTAAGAGTGGGTGCCAGAGAATGAAAGAGAAGGGTGGAAAAGCCGGGAGAGCACTGGACAGAGACAATGTCCTTTGGGGACCCAGGGAAGAGCATGTGTCAGTTGGACATGTGGGCTTGTGGGGGCATCAGCTGAGTGCCCAGAACTGAAATTTTACTACACATGGAAGTCTACAGAGGTGATGGGGGTTGGTGGGAAGGGTGGAGAACAGGACGGGGCATCTTACATCTGAACTTGGAAGCGGGGACACATGTTCTTGGGAGCCAGGCCTGCAGCTGCACTTCTTCCTCCTGTTGCCTCTCTTGGGGCTCTACCCTGAGTTTTATAACAAGGGATCCTGCAGTAATTTAATGAGGGTATTTCAGAGGTTGGTTATCTAATTCTTGGAAGGCTAACCTTGCAAAGATGTAATCATATTTGCTTCTGAATACTGATAAAATCCCACTGGGGAGAAATGTAAGGGACTTTTTAATAAAGCAGGGTAACCAAGTTGTCATAGTGAGGAGGAGTTGGGGATGACAGTCGATCATCATAGTGGCCTTTCTTTTTTCCCTCCAAAATCGAGAAGTATTTCTGAAATTCTCTTGCTTGGGCCCAAGACATACTGTCTTAACTGCCTTCTCCATCTGTGCAGGTACCGGGGGAAGCCAGTGATGGCTTGAGTAACCTCCCCAGCCCTTTTGCGTACCTCCTCACCATACACCTGAAGGAAGGCCGGAACCTGGTTGTCCGAGATCGCTGTGGTAAGACCTGGGTCTGTTATGGTGGGTGTAGCCTGGAAACTTCTTTCTCTCTGTCCTTGTATCAATATTGTCAGTCAGGCTTTGACATCACAGCATGGTTTAGGATAGACAGTGGCTCAAATCTAAGTCTCTCCAGGTATAAGACATTTGCAGTGAATCATTTAAACACACTAAACCTTACTATCCTTCTTTATTATTAGGTTAATGATACGAATCATCACGTGAAGTTGTTTTAGAATGGAATGAGATAACTCTGATAGCTTTACGCCTGGCCTATGGCAACTGTTCAAGAAAATGTTTCCTCAATCCTACTTTAATTATTCATGAGAAAAATGTGAGCCCATCCTTAGTATAAGGTCATCAGATGTACACATTGACAGAAATGCCTTTGAAACTATCTCCCTTCTGCTTTGAAATCTCACTGGACTCCCTCTAATAGCTAGTGTCTGCCTGTGATTGTTTTATTTATCTTTTACAAGTCTCTACCTAGCCATAAATACATACCTGTATATTTTTAAATGTACAGGTCTTCAAAATTGACCATGCTTTTCCATGTACATATATTGCCTTTCTTTTAAATACTACGTATTATTTAATGTATAACTATGTGCATTATGTATAATGTATAATGTTTTGTTTATCTATTTCTCTACTGGTGGTAGCTGTTTTTTTCCTTCTGTCTTTGCACTATAAATGATGCTGTAATGAACATATTGTATATGCTTCTGTGCACAGATAAGGCTAAACCTTATATTAAAATGGCATGTGGTTAAGAGCAGACAGTTGAGCTAGACTACCTGGGCCCGGATCTTGGCTTCTCCATTCATGGCTGTTGGATCTGAGAAATGTTGCTTGACCACTTGATGCCTTGGGTTGTTTATTTGTAAAACAAGGATAGTAAGATTCACCTACCTTACAGGCTGTTGGGAAGATGGCAGGCATTAACTTATATAACGTCCAGTATTCAATTGAGTGTTTTCTTCTAAATTTTTATAATTCTTCATAATTTTCAGCATTGACATTAGTTATATATTGCAAATATTTTTCTCCCAGTCTGTTGCTTATCCTTAATTGTATGGCCTCTTTTGTCCTTTAGAAGTTTTTCATTTCATTGTAGGCAAATATATCTGTTTTTTTCTTTATGATATTTATTTATTTATTTGGTTCAGTAGCTGAGGCCTTTTTATTCTAAAGAGTTCTTTTTCTTGCTTCGGTTCTTGGACGGTTTCTCCTGTTGCTTCCTCTCTATTCTGTTTTGGAACATCTTTTCAATAAAGGAAGGGTCTATTGACTCTTTGATCTGTCTTCTATGTCTCTTAGGTTTTCTTTTTCATTTTTCCCATGACTTTTTCCTCTCGGGAAGAATTCTTCAGCTTGATCTTCAGCTTGCTCATTTTCTTGTCAGTTGTTTACATTGTACTGTTCTGTTTACCAATTGTTATGTTTTTCATTTTTATAACCTATTTTGTTTGACAATCCCATCCCTTTTTGAGAATATTAAGTATTCATTTAAAATATCCTGCTTGCTGCTCTATTTCTTGGATATCAGTTTAATGTATTGACTGTCTCCCATTTAGGACATTATTTTCTTTTACATGTTTGATTCTCTGGAGCGGTTTGCTTATCATTTTATTTGTGTTTTTCTCTTCCCCCATCTGTGGATGTTATTTTTGCTTACTATGTCCTGCAATTTGGTGATGATGAGGAGAGCCGGGGCATGCTGCAGGACAGGGTGAGCCGGTAGTTCAGGCTAGGTTCTTCCCATTCCTCCTGGTTATCACCTGCCACTTAAAGCTTTTCTCTCTGCATACGCCTGTGCTATCTGCTTCTGCTTATTTTCAGGTGCCTTTGCCGGGCATTGCTCAGCCTCAAGGCATAGGACAGTGCTGGCCCATCCAGCTCTCTTTTTGTGCTGAACCCACCAGTCACACTGAGCTGCACTGGCCATCTTACCTGCTGCCTCCAAGCCTGGAGCATTCGTGGTTCACCTGCCATACACCCTTCCACCCTCCTACCCTCCCACTCCACCACTACCCAGAAACATCTTTGCTGTGACTCTCTACTGCTCATGTCTCTGGATATGGATTCTTTCATGAACTGATCTCATGTGGCTTTCATCTTTCAGAACTGTATGAAGTATGTCCTTTTTTTTCTTAAAATTTCTCTCTCTCTTGCTCATGTTTTCTCAGATGTAGCATTTTAAAATAGTGAAAAAATTATTGCCTACTTGTTGGTAAATAGTTTTTTTTAATCAAAGTCATAATTTCTTACCTATCAAGTGTATCCCTTCTCATTTCTATTATTATTATAAATGTATCTATTTTTACAACTGCATCTCTTGTGTTCTTTTTAATGGCTTGGGGCAGATAGCATTTTATGCCTGAAATAATATCTGAAAGATGTAATCATAAACCAGTGTAGGGGTGCCTCCCACAGATATCCTGATTCTTACCCTGATCCGGCACAGTGTCCAGTGGTTACTTTTGTCAAAAATGATTATCAAATTCATTTTGTAACCATTTCTCTGGCGAGTAGAAGAGTGTTCTAGAGAGTGTGTATTTTACATTACTAGGAAGAAAATGTTCTCAAGCTACATGTCCTGTTTTACATTTATGGAATTTCTTCAAAAAAAAAATTTTTTTTTTTTTTTTTTTTTTTTTTTTTGAGACGGAGTCTAGCTCTGTCGCCCAGGCTGGAGTGCAGTGGCACAATCTTAGCTCACTGCAACCTCCGCCTCCTGGGTTCAAGCGATTCTCCTGCCTCAGCCTCCCAAATAGCTGGGATTACAGGCACGCACCACCATGTCCAGCTAATTTTTGTATTTTTAGTAGAGACGGAGTTTCGCCAGGCTGGTCTCAAACTCCTGACCTTGTGATCTGCCCACCTTGGCCTCCCAAAGTGCTAGGATTACAGGTGTGAGCCACCACGCCCGGCCAATAGTTTTTAAGTTTAGGGATATATACAGGCCCTGGACCTCTTCTGTTGGCCAACTACTCCTTTTCTAGCTTTCTCCATTTTTTTCTAGTTCTTTCTCCCTCACTGCTGTCAGGCAATACTATACTTCTCTATCAAACTGATGCAGTTACAGCAGATTCCGAGTAGATGGTCAGTACACTGATTAGATGATGAAGCCGTTGCACACATCGGAAAATGATACAATAGGGCTTATGTGCACTTGCTCCATATCTTGCTGTTTCAAGACCAAAGTCTGCTCTAACCCCAGCCATTGTCATCTCTCTCTGCAGAGTTTCATCACAGTCAAAACATCATGTGAGAATTTGGCTTTTATTTTGTGCAAACCTAATATAATCCAAATGTAAATACCTAATAAGGAGTCTAGGTCATAAACTGTGCTGTTTCAGTCCCCATTTCTTTTGAAACCAGTAGTAATTGTTCTTGGTTTTTTTTTTTTTCTTTCATTTTGGGGATGCTTTATTGTTATCTGTTAAGAAAATACCCCACTCTTTCAACATTTTTTATTTCATTTTTATACCTTGGGGATGCCTTCCTATGCTCTGACTATGTCAACTTCTGTTTGATTATCACAAGTATTAAGATGAAGGTATGATCTTGAGCCTGCTCAGGGCAAGACGGCATTTGAGTGTCTACTGTGGGTTCAAGAAGGGGTCCTCATTACTAATACATGTGCTCCCTCACTCCTGCCTCCTTTGCCTAGGTACAGCGTCACTTTTCAATACAGCATTATTTTCTACAAAACCCAACCCAGACTCAGAAGTTTTATCTAACACAATCCTTTGGACCAATAGTTCTCAAAATTGAATGAGCCTCAGAAGAGTCTTAGGAACTAATGAAAATGCACATCTCTGAGCCCCGCACACAGACTCTCTGATTCAGTGTGTCTGGGGTGGGGCCTGGGAATTTGCGTTTCTAACAAGTTCCCAGGTAAGGCTGATGCTGCTGGCCCAGGAACCACACTTGGAGAACCTTTGCTCTAGGCAGTCCCTGTCACAGGTGGGTGTCGGCACATGAGAAGAAACCCATGCTTCTCCTTAGAGGTAGAGTTTCAACTCTTGATTATGTTAGCCAGACATTGTATTTTCCTGGGGCTTTTTCTCATTACCTGTTTGCTGTCTGTCATTGGTCTCAGCTTTACTTAATTTGTATTGGAATATAATTTAATTTAGTATTAACCCAATTAAAACAGGTTTAAGAAACTGTGTGATATGCTAAAGTACTAACTATAACATGTTTTTGGCTTATCTATGCATTTACAATATTTAGTCTTTATAACGTGTTCTCCAATTCTGTAGATACTAAACCAATAGCTTATTGTTGCAATAGGAAGTATCTTTCAATACAGACTCAGATGGCATTTGTCCTATGCAGTCTTTTATGTTTTTCACAGGCATAAGCTCTGTCTCACCTCAATCTTATAAGATTTTACCTTTATAAAACATATACCTTTATC